>NC_000010.11:85143095-85294610 GCF_000001405.40 Homo sapiens | reverse complement strand
CAGAGGGTGGACAGTTAAACTGTGGTACATCTATACAGTGGAAAACTACTCAGCAATAAAAAAGGGACAAATTATTGATACAACTACTTGGGTGGATCTCAAGGGGGAAAGGTATTGAGTGAAAAACCCAATCTTTAAAGAGCAGATACTGTAGGATTCCATTTCTATAACATTCTTAAAATGGCAATAGTGTAGAGATGAAGAAAAGATTTGTGGTTATCAGCAGTTAGAGAAAGGGGACTAAAGGTGATGAAACAAATCTGTGTTTTGATTGTGTGTTGGCTAACAAATCTACAAAGGTGATAAAATTGCACTGAAACACACACATATGTGCAAATAAGTGCTTGTAAATTGGGTGAAATCTGAATATGGCGTGAGTTGTGCTAATGTTGAATTCATTACGTGGATATTGTAGTATAACTACCTATTACCATTGGGGGAAATGGGGTGAAAGGCACATGGACCTCTTTGTATTAATTCTGCAACTTTCTGCACATCCATAATTATTGCAAAATAAAAGTTGAAAAAGCAATAAAGGAATCTTTAGAGGAATTCTCTTATTATCGGAGACTGCAAACAACTTTCCTAGCCCTCAAAATCTAGAGACCATAAGTGGAAAGATAGACAGATGTGATTACGCAAAACTAAAAACTTTTGCATGGCTACAAAAAAGGAAAAGCCAAGTAAAGTATAAAAAAAATGACAAATTGAAAAATTATTTGCAACTTGTATCAAAAAATTGATATTTCCAATATACAAAAGACATAAAAATAGAGAAATAATAGAATATCTCTGAAGACTAATGGACTAAGAATATTAACATAAAATTCTTAAGAACATGAACATAAAATTCACAGAAAGAAAATATGAATCATAACACATATGACTCATAATCCTTTGGAAATATGCTCACATTCACTCACAATAAGAGGGATGAAAGGTAAAACCGAAATAAGATACCATTTCTCACCTGTGAAATTGGCAACAAAAGAAATGTTTGACAACATGTTCTGCTGTCAAAGCTGTGGGGAGAAATCAGGCATTCTCACGTATCTCCGGTGAGAGTGCAGATTAATAAAGGCCTGTGTAGGCATAGAGGGTAATTTCAAGAAAAATTACTTATTCATTTACCTTTTGGCCCAACAGTTCCTCTTCTAGGAATTGATGCTGAAAATACACAGGCAAAAATATTAAAAGGTCATATGCTCTAGGCATTCTTTGCATGAATATTTGAAATATTAATAGACTAGAAATAACCCAGGTAGCCATCAGTAGGAGACTGGATGCATAAAATGCAGTACCCATAATGGAGTACCAGACAGTTTTTAAAAGTTATAAGAACTATCTCTATATCTACATTTGGAGAGTTTTCTGGAATATCTTGTTTTCTGAAAATAAAGAGGATAAAAGTATGTACAGGGGGCTGCCGTTTACCTAAGGAAAATAAGAACAGAAAATTGTGTGTGTGTGTGTGTGTGTGCCCTCGTGCTTAACCACAGCTGAGGGAGAAAAATGGGAATATTATAGAAGGCACACAGGTAGAAACTAGACATCTTTGAATATTCTTTGTTTTATACATTTAATTTTAGAATCAGATCTTTAAGAAATTGAAAGGTTATATGGAAAAATGAGACTAAGTGTTTTCCTATTTGGTGGCATATTCAGAGTGGAACTATTACAACTGACCAACTGACTCTAAAACCCCAGTCATTTGATGCTAAATTCCCAATGATATACTCTCAGGTGAAGAAACTATAACAAAAAAAGTCAAATGTTGTATAGTAAAAATGTTGGTAATAGTGCTGTTATGTATTTATGTGTTATTTGTTTTTGAGACTATAGGGTATGTGCATTTTGGAATCCATCAAATTAATTATCATATAATATTCTAAATCTATCATCCCTCCTAGAGTACAGGGATTGTGTGTGTGTGTGTGTGTGTGTTTTCTAGCTTTGTTCTCTGAAAATGCCTTAGAAATACAATATGATAAGCTGGTAGTAAAGAGCCCCCATAGTTCACAGACTGTAATCTTGAAATGCCATTTTTCACCAAATGGCTCTTCAGAATGACAAATTCCAAGTATGGTACAGGAAATATATAAGATCATTTTGGAATATCTTGTTACATGGAATAACAAAAACTCTATCAAAGAATACTAGAATCAAGTCTAAACAAATTTGAAGTCAGTTCAAGTAAGTTTTCATTGGCCAAGAATGGTGTAATTTGAGCATCGCTAAAATTGATTTCTGCAAGGAATTTAAACACAAAAAATATGTATAAAACTATACATATGTTTTGTTTATACATATTTGAGTATGACTATATATATTTGCATACATATATACATATTTGAGTACAATATGGTGCTAAAAGAAAAAATACTTTGGTCACCATTGGAAACTTGGAAAAAAGAAAAGAAGTAAGCATTTTATCACATTTTTTTCATACACCTAAGCCACCGAAACAAAGATGAGGCAAATTTTCTCTTTATAAAAGTATTCCAGCTAATAAATGAAGAAGAAATAATAGAATTAGAACGTCATCAGTTTGCAAAACCTAATGAATTGATACTTACAAGCACTGATCATTAAGTACTGCTTCCATTATAAAAAGCAGCAAGCAAACACCACACATCTGATGAAATTTAGAAATCTTTGTATAAATAAGTCTTACTCCAACTTTAATCAACTTTGAATCACAGATCAAGTCTCCCAATTCAATTTAGTAAAGCAATGAAAGACAGAATGATATGTACATTATGTGTTGAACAACAAATGTTCAACAACAACCAAAATTCAGCATGTGGGAAGCTTTACACGATGTATGATCCAGTTCCTTTAACAAATACATTGCAAGAGGGATAGAGACAGATGGAGAAGAACCTAAAGTCTAAAAAGAGACTTAAGAGATGTATTAACTATTTGTAATGTGTGGCTTATTTGAATACTGATTCAAGCAAACTGCTAAAAAATGGCGTTTATGAGACAATTGGAAATTTAAACGCTGTTATAGTTTCTAAGTTTTACTTTATTTTTAATTGACAAATAATAATTGTATATATTTGTGGGATATAATATGATAGTATGATACATGTATACATTGTACAATGATCAAATCAAGTAAATTAACATATTCATCACTTCAAATATTTAACATTTGTTTTTGGTGAGAACATTTAAAATCCTTTGTATAAATATTTTGAAATATACACTATTATTGACCACCATTCAGTCACAATAATTTGCAATAGGACAAGAGAACTTATTTCTCCTAACTGTAACCTTGTACTCATTGACTAATGTCTCCCCTTTCCCAGCCCACCTCCTACCATCTTGACCCTGGAAACCACCATTCTACTCCCCACTTCCATGAGTTAAACTTTTTAAGATTCCACATATATTAGTTTGATGAAATCTCATGTGTCTATTATTGCTTTCATTGCCTGTGTGGTAGAGCTCATATTCAAGAAATTTCTGTCTGGACCAATGTTATGCAGCTCTTCTCCTATGTTTTATTCTAGTAGTTTTATAGTTTCCGGCCTTAGGTTTAAGTTTTTAATCCATTTAAGTTGATTCTTGTATAAAAAGTAGGTAAGGGTCTATTTTCATGCTTCTGTGTGTGGATATCTAGTTTTCACAGCATCAATCCTTTCCAAAATGTGATCTTGGCAACTTTATTGAAAATAATTTAAGTTGACTATAAATGTGGGTATATTTCTGAGCTCTCTCTCCTGTTCCATTGGTTAAGGTGTCTGTTTTTTTCCAGTACCATGCTATTTTGAGTACTATAGCCATATAATATATTTTGAAATCTGATAATATGATGCCTTCAACTTTGTTCTTTTTGTTCAAAATTCTTTTGGCTACTTGGGATCTTTTGTGAAGTTTTAGGGATTTTTTCCTATTTCCATGAGGAATAAAATTGAAATTGTGATACGGATTGCATTAAGTCCATAGATCACTTTGTGTAGTATAGACATTTTAACAACACTAATTTTTCCAATCCATGAACATGGGATATCTTTCCATTTCTCTGTATCGTCAATTTCTTTCATCAATATTTTATAGATTTTAGTATACAGATCTCTTACTTTCTTTGTTTACTTTTAAATACTTTTTGATGCAACTGAGAAATTATTTTAATTTATAAGATAGTGAAAATGGGTATCCTTGCCTTGTTCCAATTTCCAGGGGAAATGCTTTCAAATTTTCCCCATTAACTATAATGTTGTCTGTGAGTTTATTGTATATGGCCTTTATTATATTGAGGTATATTCCTTCTTCACCCAGTGTGTTGAGGGTTTTTATCATAAAGAGATGCTAAATTTTATCAAATGCTTTTTTTGTATCTATTGAGATGATTATACGGTTTTTGTCCCTAATTCTGTTTATGCAATAAATCACATTTATTGATTTGCATATGTTGAATCATTCTTGCATCCCTTGAATGAAACCCACTTGACTATGGTGTACTATTTCTGTGATGTGCTGTTGTATTAGATTTCCTAGTTTTTTTGTTGAGGATTTTTGCATCTATGTTCATCAGATATTGGTCTTTATTAGTTTTATTTTTGCATTACATTCTTGTCTGGGTTTGGCATCAGAGTGATATTGGCTTTATAGAATGAGTTAGGAAGAATTATCTCCTCCTTGATTTTTTGGAACAGTTCCGGGAGGATTGGTACAAGTTCTTCTCTGCGTGTTTGATAGAATTCATCTGTGAATCCATCTAGTTCTCAGCTTTTTGTTGTTGTTGCTGTGGTGGTATTTTATATTGCTGATGCAGTCTCATTACTTTTTATTGGTCTATTCAGAATTTCTGTAGCTTCTTCACTCTTGGGAGATTGTATGTTTCCAGAAATTCACCAATTTTCTCTAGGTTTTCTTCTTGTGAGAACATAGTTGTTAACAGGAGTCCATAATGATCTTTGTATATCTATAGTATCAGTTGCAATGTCTCCTTTTTCTTTTCTGACTGTGTTTATTTGAATCTTCTCTCTTCTTTTCTTGGTCTGTCTATCTAGCAGTGTATCAATTTTCTTTTTTTCAAGGAACCAACTTTTCTTTTGTTGATCAATTGTACTTTTTTCTTCTATCTCATTTAGTTCGGATCTGATCATTGTTATTTCTGTTCTTCTACTAGATTTGAGTCTGGTTTGGTTCTTGTTTTCCTAGTTTCTTGAAGTACAACATTAGATTATTAATGTGTAATCTTTCCATATTTTTGATGTAGGCATTTAACACTATAAACTTCCCTCTCAGACTGTTTTTGCTGTATCACAGAGGATTTAATATGTTGTGTTTCCATTTTCATTCATTTTCTAAACAATTTAAAATTTCATCCTAATTTTGTCATTTTCCCAAAGATTGTTGAGGAGCATGTTGTTTAATTTATATGTATTTGTATAATTTACAGAGTTCCTCTTGTTATTGATTTCTACTTTTGTTATATTGCAGTCTGAGAAAAATAATATGATTTTTATTTTTAAATAGCTTATTGAGACTTCTTTGTGACATATCATATGGTCAGTCTTGAAGTATGTTCCATGTGCTGATGAGAAGAACGTATAGTCTGTAGTTGTTAGGCAGAATATTCTGTAGGTATTTGTTAGGTCAAAACGTTCTAAAGTCTATTTAAGTCCATATTTGTTGACTTTCTATCTCAATGACATGTCTAGTGCTATGTATTGTATTGCATGGATGATCTGTTCAATGTTGAAAGTGGGTTATTGAAATCTCTCACTATTACTGTGTGGCAGTTTATGTCTCTCTTCAAGTCTCTTAATATTTGTTTTATATGCTTAGATGCTCTGATATTAGGTGGATATATTTTTGTGATTATTACATCCTCTTAATGGCTGTACCACTTTATCACTCTATAATGACCATCTTTGCCTCTTTTTACAATTTTTGACCTAAAGCCTATTTTGTCTAAAATAAGTATAACTACTGCTTTCTTTTTGTTTCTATTTGCATGAAATATCTTTTCCATTCCTTCACTTTTTAAAAAATTATTATTATACTTTAAGTTTTAGGGTACATGTGCACAATGTGCAGGTTAGTTACATATGTATACATGTGCCATGCTGGCGCGCTGCACCCAATAACTCGTCATCTAGCATTAGGTATATCTCCCAATGCTATCCATCCCCCCTCCCCCCACCCCACAACAGTCCCCAGAGTGTGATGTTCCCCTTCCTGTGTCCATGTGTTCTCATTGTTCAATTCCCACCTATGAGTGAGAATATGCGGTGTTTGGTTTTTTGTTCTTGCGATAGTTTACTGAGAATGATGATTTCCAATTTCATCCATGTCCCTACAAAGGACAGGAACTCATCATTTTTTATGGCTGCATAGTATTCCATGGTGTATATGTGCCACATTTTCTTAATCCAGTCTATCATTGTTGGACATTTGGGTTGGTTCCAAGTCTTTGCTATTGTGAATAGTGCCGCAATAAACATACGTGTGCATGTGTCTTTATAGCAGCATGATTTATAGTCTTTTGGGTATATACCCAGTAATGGGATGGCTGGGTCAAATGGTATTTCTAGTTCTAGATCCCTGAGGAATCGCCACACTGACTTCCACAATGGTTGAACTAGTTTACAGTCCCACCAACAGAGTAAAAGTGTCCCTATTTCTCCACATCCTCTCCAGCAACAGTTGTTTCCTGACTTTTTAATGATTGCCATTCTAACTGGTGTGAGATGATATCTCCTTGTGGTTTTGATTTGCATTTCTCTGATGGCCAGTGATGGTGAGCATTTTTTCATGTGTTTTTTGGCTGCATGAAATGTCCTTACAGGTGAAGTAAGTCATATGTTGGCACTGTACAGGTGCATGTTTTTCTAAAATTTATTCAGCTACTCTATGCTGCTTTATTGGAGAATTTAATCCATTTGTATTTAAAGTAATTATTGATAGGAAAGGACTTACTAGTATCATTTTATATATTGTATTCTTGTTATTTTGTAGATCCTTTACTTCTTTCTCTATTCCTTTCTTCTTTTGTGGTTTGATGGCTTTCTGTAATGACATGCTTTGAATCTTTTTATCTTTTGTGTATATGTTACAGGATTTTGATTTATGGCTACCCTGAGGTTTACATTAAATATACTATAATTGTAACTAGCTATATTGAGCTAACATCTTAACTTTGATTACATATATAAACTCCACACTTTTACTAACCCTCCTCTCACACTTTGTGTTTTTGATGTTACAATTGGCCTTTAAAAATTGGATTCCTAACAAATTATTGTAACTTTTGTTTTTAATAGTTTTGTCTTTTAACTTTTATACTAGAAGTTTAAATGATTTACCTACAACCATTACAATTCTGGATTTGACAATGTACATATTTTTATGAGTTACATTTATGCTTCCATAAATTTTGTTACTAGTTAGTGCCTTTTTCCTTCAGCTTAAAGAAACCCCGTTAATATTTCTTTTAATGTTAAATTTGGTGACAAAGTCAAATTTTGTTTGTCTAAGCGTCTTTATCACCATTTATTTTTGAAAGACAGGGTTGCTAGGTATAACATTCTTGGTTCAAAAATTTTTTTTTCAGGATTTTGAGTATATCATCCTACTTCATTCTGACCTGTAGTTTCTACTGAAACAAGTCCACTGATAGTCTTTTGGTGGTTCCTTTCAGCGTAACAACTCACTTTACTCTTGCTGGTTTCAAAACTCTGTCTTTAGCAGACAATTTGGTTATGATATTTCTTTGTGTGAGTTTCTTTATATTCATCTTACTTGGTCTCCTTTGGGCTTCCTGGATCTGAATTTTTACTATCTTTTTCAGGCTTAGGAAGTTTTCTACTATTATATTTTAAATGTTTTCTGTTTTTTTTTCTTTGTTGCTTCTCCTTCTGGAACACCAATATTGCATGTGTTGTAATGTTTGATTACATCCCATATGTTTCTTAAACCTCAATTTTTTTTACTGTGCTTTTCTTTTTGCTCTTTGTCACATGATTTTCAGAGAAAAGTTTTTGAGCTCATTGATCCTTTCCTCCTCTCAATCTAGATAGGATTCTCTTGAATTCCCTCTATCAATTTTTCAACTCAATTATAGTACTCTTCAACTCTATGATTTCTATTTGGTACTTCTTTATACTTTCTAACTATTGAAATTCTCAGTTTGTTCTTGCATTGCTGTCCTAACATTGGTGAGCATTTTTATAAACATCATTTTGAATTTCCTGTTAGGTTAATCACATATACACAATTTACTTGGGTAAATTTTTGAAGACTTACTTTTTCTTTTATTTGGAATATTTTGCCCTGTTTCTGTATTTTCCCTTGACTCCCTCTGTTGGTTTCTGCACATTAGATAAGACAACTACCTACCCTAGTCTTGTCAGACTGGCCTGTGTAGGAGAAGAATCACCAACTCATCCAGCCAGAGATTTTATGGTGCTTCTCAAATCTGTGTCCAGACTGCTGTCTGTTTTTGTGACCCCCTGGAGCTTAGGATGTGCCATATTCTGTAACTACCCTTAGACTAGTGAGGTAGATGCCAGACTATTGTAGCTAAAACAGTTGGGGTGTTGAATGTGAATTTCAGTTACTTCTATCTTCATTTTGAAGCTTAGGATGGGTGTTTATCTCCCAGTGTCTCTGCACTTAGCTGGGGGAAAAAATCTGTGGCACATGTTTGTAGTCATGTTCAGGCATCTCCCTCTGATACTGGGGCAACAGCTATTGGAAGTGGGCCCATGGTACATCCAATTGTTTACATTTTTTGATCTGGCGTTATTTAAGAATTCAAATTCCCATTGACAATGAGGGTTAAGTTATCAAGGATATAATCCCTTGAGTGAGAGGTAAGACAGTCACTGCATGGCCAAACTCCTTCCAGGAAGAATAAGTAGACCTGGATTTATTACTGAGGCAGGCCACATAGAAGGTTCATAAAGTCCCAAGCTCTGGCTCTGGCTGCCAGACAGGTTTTTTTTTCTTTTCTTTTTGTTTGTTAGCCCCCAGTGCAAGTTCCTTACAAGCCAGGCTTTTAAGGAGCCACTGAAAGTGTGTATAGTAAGCTCTGTCCAGAAAAAAAAAAAAAATGAAAGCTACATGTTTCTACATCTTTTCTGCACATCTTCAAGGGAGTGTATCCCTTGGAGGTGTTTATGCATCCACTTAAAACTGCTTCTTTATTTTGTTATCTAAGGAGATTCATGGATACCTAGTCCTTTTTGATCCAAGAGCTAAGAGGTTTAGGATGGAATCCTTTGAAAAGTAGCTGTAAAAAATTTAGACATTTAATGCATGGCATAAATCCCTTCTGGGGAAAAACAAGAAGCTGCATTTTAAAACCCCCTTTTGCACTGCTTCTAGGAGATGAAGCCCTGAAAGTGCTTACATGCCATATAAAAACTGCCCTTTTTTTCTGTGGCCTAGAGATACTCACATATACTTAGTCCCCACTGCTCCCAGAGCGAGGGGGTTTAGGGTACAGTTTCTCAGTGGAAGCTACAAGAGTGTGAGTGCTCACTTTGTAGACAAACTTCTTCCGAGATGGATTAATAGTTTTGGAGTTATAACTTTGGTATGCTAAGGGAGTAGGCCTGAGAAGTGACAATCTGCTTCTGGGGCTGCTGGTTAGCTAATGTTTTTCTGCCCTTTAACCCTGTGATGCAAGAATCCAGCTAACCAAGTGCCCGCTGGAAAAGTGTGTCATAAACCTTTTCAGGGAAGAAACAAGGGGCTGAATTTTTATGTACTCTCTCTTGTACTGTTCCTAGGGGATGCAGCCCTTGGAAGTGCTTGCATGCTTATGTAAAACTGCCACTTTTTTCATTTGGGTCTGAGAGACTCACATATGTTTAATACCTTTTGCTCTCAGAGTTGGTGAATTAGGAGCCAATCCCCCAAAACCTGAGAGCTGGTGCACTGTATGTGAGGTCTTAAAACCTCCTATCCACAGGGAGAATCCGGGTATTGGGAATTCCTTTCCTGATTTTATGGAGCAATGTCTGGGGTGGGGGCCTGTGCCCAAGTGTGCTTCATCTTTTACTACCCTTTCTACGTAAATGTTTTCTTGGTTGTCTATTGGGTAGGAGTCACTCAACTGGTCTCTGATTTCTCTCAGAGAAAAGTGATCGTGAATAGATGTTTATTTCATTGTCTGGAGGACATTGTCAGGGTAAGGAGTTTCCTATTTCACCAGGTTGCTAATATCGCTCCTCTGACTATTATTTTTTGACAGGTGATTTTGTTTACTCAACTCTATACATTACTCAACTCTATACATCTATGAGTCAAAACTCATAGAACTGTACATAAAATAAATTTCCATATATAAATTTTGAAAAGTTTTAAGCAAATAGTAGCAAACTGAATCCAGAAATACATAAAAAGGATAATATATCATGCCAAAATGAAGTTTATCTCATGAACACAAGTTTTTAGATGTTAGAAAAACAAATAATTTAATGTACACATTATTAAATTAATAGAAAAAATTATCACCTCAATAAAGTTTTATAAAATTTAACATTTATTTATTTTAAAAAAACCATGCTAAACTTTAATCAGAAGATAACTTTCTTAATCTAAGAAGGTAATCTATAGAAATCATAGAGAAAATGTCACAGCTTTTCTCTGAGATCTACAGCAAGATGAGGATACTCACTGTCACAGTGTAGGTCCTCTTGAAAGCAGACACTGAGAGAAAATCATAACAAGTACGGTATTAAAAACATAAAATAGAATATAATGGAAATTACAGGAGTTTAAGATACTTAATGTGATTGAATATTATTTCATGTAACTTTTGCTTCAATTATATGTATGTCTATTAAGTCATGAAATGAAATGTATTTCTTGCTGTGTTTCATATAATAAAAGTATGAGAAACACCACATGGAGAATAGAGTCCAAACACCTTAGTAAGTTATACAAGGCTCTCTTAATACTGACTCTGTCTACCCACGTACCTTCCACTTCCTCATTCCCTCTGCTCCATCTTCCTTCATCTTTCCTTGCAGCATTATTTAACTACATGCACCTCTCTATCTCCTTGAATATACCTCCACCATAGTACTTAGCTAAGTATGTTTCCATGATTTGCCTACAAGCACCTTTATTACTACACTGGTTATTTTTTGAGGGCAGGATTGTGCCTTAACTATCTTTTCAATTGTGATGATAGATATTTGGAGAAAGCAGAAAAAGGAGAAAAGGTGATAAGAAACTTAGCCCAGAGTACCAGAAGGACATTTCCAGTGATGTGTTTTTATTCAGGCTTGAGCACAGTATGAGGAGTTGAAAAGAGCCTTAGAATGGGTAATCCTCCCAACACCTCCTGTCACTCATTGTCTGCCAAGCCCAGCAGCAACATGCTGAACTGTACTTTCCCACATGGTCCTCTGTCACCCAAAGTGACATGCCTCCCCTCTGAGCCACTTGTCATAATGAGAAATGGGCCATGTAAGTATTTTGGCAAACAGGGGGCATTGAACTGTCAAATTATCCTCTGCTCTAGGGTAGCAAAAGACGCCTGGCTTCTGTTATTTCCTTCTCATTACTCTGTTAGCTTTATTAGCTTCATGATGCTGCTTAAATCCTGACGTGGAAAACTTGCAGATAGGTGAGCTCAGACTCTAAGATTTTCCCAACCAAGCCTCCTGGTGGTTTACTTGCAGAAGGAAGTTCTTCTTTGGAAATTACAGAAATCACTTTATTTCTTTATTAATTATGAAAATATTTTCTGAGGAAGGATGTGAGCCCAGAACTGTTCATGTGGGGATGCAATGATGCATAAAACAGATTTCCTACCTTCAAAGGAGCTTAGCAGTCTGCAGTTCATAGAGAGTAATAAAGAGAATGATGTAATAAATGTGAGTATAAAATTAGAGGTCTGCATTGTGTACTTCCAGAACTTTAATGTGCACATGACATCTGGGATTCTTCATAAAATACAGGATCTGGTTTGGTAGCTCTGAGATGGGTCCTAAGATTCTGCATTTGTAACAAGCTTTCACATGATGCTGATGCTGCTGCTCCAGGCACTGACTTTTGAGTAACTATGACTTGTAAACATAAATAAGTAGCAGTTTATCCCCTCTGCTGATATGTGAATAGAACAGTCTTCCAAAGGAACAATGGCTTGACCCAAATCTTGACAGCTGTGTAACTATTCCCATGCCTTCAGAGGGGTCACAAACATTTAAGATAGAAACATGAGCATGCCCACAATTGAATATATTTAGGTAACTATAGGAGGCATGTGGCTGAAGCGGAGCCATAATGAGTGAAAGACTGATGACAACTAGGAATGACATAGACCAGGTGTTAAAGAGCTTAGTAAGTAGTATATAAAATGTATCTTGTAGACATTGAGGAACCATATGAAAGTGACAATATTCATGAATATCTGTGACTTTTTTACTCTGGAGTAAATGAGTCATCAATATCTACTGCTATATAAGTGAAGTATTTTGTGAATAGGTTGAAGGAAATGATATGAACCCAATGGTTTTATATATAGTCACATATATGTGATTGTATGATGTGTGCAGAGTATTTTGTGCTTTTCTAAATGTTTTTGCCCAAATGGATGCAGAAATAAACTAATTTAACATTAAAAGTTACAGCCTGCAAGTTGGGAGAAAGTGTGATGCTGTTTCATTTTAATTGAAGTAAAACCTGTACAACAAAAATGTCAGCATTTTAAAATAAACAATTTAGAACCATTTATTTGGGAAATAAACACTTAGAACATTCAGGATGCAATGATCACCTCTATTTAGTTCTAAGGCATTTTTATCATTCCAAAAGGAAATCTCATATCGATTAAGCAGTCACTTTCTATTTCCCTCTCCTCCAAGACTCTAGCAAACATTAATCTCTTTCTTTTTCTATGGATTTACCTGTTTGGAATATTTAATATTACTATGCATTGAATATTTGTGCCCTATTCCCAAATTTCATATTTTGAAAACCTAACCCCTGATGTGATGGTATTAGGAGGTGGAACCTTTGGCAAGTTCATGCCAAAAGATAGGCTTTTGGGAGGTCATGAAGATGGGTCCCTCATGAATAGGATTAGTGCTCTTCTAAGAATATACGTAAGAGCTTGTTCTTTCTGCTCTTCACCACATGCTGATACAACAAAAAACAGCCACATCCAAATCAAGAAGTGGGCCTTCACCAAGCACTTGATCTGCCAACACCTTTACCTTGGAAATCCCAGCCTCCAAGACTGTGAGAATTAAATAGTTTTTGTTTAAGCCATTAGTCTATGGCAATTTGTTATAGCACCCCAAACTAAAAAAAAACACATATAAATTGAATCATAAAATATGTGACATTTTGTGACTGGATTCTTTCACCTAACATAATTCAAGTTTCCTCCATGTTTTAGCATGTATCAGTTCTTTATCAGTTCTTTATCCTTGGCTGGACAATATAGCACCATATGTATATACCTTTTTATAAGAAAAACAATTTTTCAGTTTGAACATTTGGGTTGTTTCCACTTTTTGACTATTATGGATAGTGTTACTGTGAGCATTCACATACAAGTTTTTGTTTAAGTATCTGTTTTCAATTTTGGAGGTTATATACTTAGCACTTAAATTGCTGGGTCTTATGGTAACTCTATATTTAACTTTCTGAGAAACCATCAAACTTACTTATTCACAATGGATACCTTGTTTAACATTCCTAGAAGCAACGCATAAGAGTTTCAATTTCTCCACATACTTGCCAATACTTGTTATTATCCATTTTTAAAACACGTATAGCTGTGGGTGGTTGGCAAGATGACCAAATAGGAACAGCTCCCCTCTGCAGCTCCCAGTGAGATCAAAGCAGAAGGTGGGGGATTTCTCCATTTCCAACTGAGGTACCCACCTCATCTCATTGGGACTGGTTAGACAGTGGGTGCAAGCCATGGAGGGCGAGCCAGAGCAGGGTGGGGCGTTGCCTCACCTGGGAAGAGCAAGGGGTCAGGGAACTCCCCTCCCCTAACCAAGGGAAGCCATGATAAATGGCCATGATAAATGTGCCATGATAAATGATGCACTCTGGCCCAGATACTATGCTTTCCCCAAGGTCTTCGCAACTGGCAGACCAGGAGAATCCCTCAGGTGCCTACACCACCACAGCCCTGGGTTTCAAGCACAAAGCTGTGTGGCCATTTGGGCAGACACCCAGCTAGCTGCAGGAGATTTTTTTATATACCACAGAGGCGTCTGGACTGCCAGTGAGACAGAACTGTTGGGCTGGAGCCAGAGAGCCAAGTGGTCTAGCTTAGTGGATCCCACCACCATGGAGTCTGGCAAGCTGAAATCCACTGGCTTGAAATTCTCGCTGCCAAAACAGCAGTCTGAAGTCAACCTGGAACGCTGGAATTTGGTGGGGGAAGGGGCATCCACATTACTGAGGCTTGAGTAGGCAATTTTCCCTTCACAGTGTAAACAAAGCCACCAGGAACTTCAAACTGGGCGGAGCCCACAGCAGCTCACCAAAGCCACTGTAGCCAGAATGCCTCTCTAGATTCCTCCTCTCTGGGAAGGGCATCTCTGAAAGAAAGACAGCAGCCACAGACAGGGGCTTATAGATAAATCTCCCATCTCCCTGGGACAGAGCACCTGGGGGAAAGGAGCGGCTGTGGGCACAGTTCTACAGACTTAAACATTCCTGCCTTCTGGCTCTGAAAAGAGAAGCAGATCTCCCAGCACAGTCCTCGAGCTCTGCTAAGGGACAGACTGCCTCCTCAAGTGGGTCCCTGACCCCGTGCCTCCTGACTGGCAGACACCTCCCAGCAGGGGTCAACAGACACCTCATACAGGAGAGCTCCAGCTGCCATCTGGCAGGTGCCCCTCTGGGATAAAGCTTCCAGAGAAAGGAACAAGCAGCAATCTTTGCTGTCCTGCAGGCTCCGCTGGTGATACTCAGGCAAACAGGGTCTGGAGTGGGCCTCCAGAAAACTCCAGCAGACCTGCACCAGACGGGCCAGTTAGAAGGAAAACTAACAAACAGAAAGGAATAGCATCAACATCAACAAAAGGGACACACACACAAAAACCCCATCCGAAGGTCACCAGCATCAAAGACCAAAAGTAGATAAATCCACAAAGATGAGGAAAAACCAGGGCAAAATAGCTGAAAATTCCAAAAAATAGAATACCTCCTCTACAAAGGATCACAACTCCTTGCCAGCAAGGGAACAAAACTGGACAGAGAATGAGTTTGACAAATTGACAGAAGTAGGCTTCAGAAGGTGGGTAATAACAAACTCCTCTGAGCTAAAGGGGCATGTTCTAATCCAATGCAAGGAAGCTAAGAACCTTGAAAAAAGGTTAGAGGAATTGCTAACTAGAGTAACCAGTTTAGAGAAGAACATAAATGAGCTGGTGGAGCTGAAAAACATAGCATGAGAACTTCGTGAAGCATACACAAGTATTAATAGCCGAATCGATCAAGCGGAAGAAAGGATATCAGAGATTGAAGATCAACTTAATGAAATAAAGCATCAGGACAAGATTAGGGATAAAAAGAATGAAAAAGAATGAACAAGGACTCCAAGAAATATGGGACTATGTGAAAAGACCAAACTTACGTCTGATTGGTGTACCTGAAAGTGACGGGAAGAATGGAATCAAGTTGGAAAACACTCTTCAGGATATTATCCAGAGGACCTCCCCAACGTAGCAAGACAGGCCAATATTCAAATTCAGGAAATACAGAGAACACCACTAATACTCCTTGAGAAGAGCAACCCCAAGACACATAATCGTCAGACTGACCAAAGTTGAAATGAAGGAAAAAATGTTAAGGGCAGCCAGAGAGAAAGGTCAGGTAACCCACAAAGGGAAGCCCATCAGACTAACAGTGTTTCAGACTCAGCAGAAACCCTACAAGCCAAAAGAGAGTGGGGGCCAATATTAAACATTCTTAAAGAAAAGCATTTTCAGCCCATAATTTCATATCCAGCCAAATTGAGCTTCATAAGAGAATGAGAAATAAAATCCTTTACAGACAAGCAAATGCTGAGAGATTTTGTCACCACCAGGCCTGCCTTACAAGAGCTCCTGAAGGAAGCAGTAAATACAGAAGGGAAAAACTGGTGTCAGCCGCTGCAAAAACATACCAAATTGTAAAGACCATTGAAACTATGGAGAAACTGCATCAACTAATGGGCAGAAAAACCTGTTAGCATCATAATGACAGGATCAAATTCACATATAACAATGTTAACCTTAAATGTAAAAGGGCTGAATGCCCTAATTAAAAGACAGAGACTGGCAAATTTGATCGAATCAAGACCCATTGGTGTGCTGTATTCAGAAGACCCATCTCACATGCAAAGACACACATGGCTCAAAATAAAGGGATGGAGGAAGTAAATGGAAAGCAAAAAAAGCAGGAGTTGCAATCCTAGCCTCTGATAAAACAGACTTTAGACCAACAAAGATAAAAAAAAGACAAAGAAGGGCATTACATAATGGTAAAGGGATGAGAGCAAGAAGAACTAACTATCCTAAATATATACGCACCCAATACAGAAGCACCCAGATTCATAAAGCAAGTTCTTAGCGACCTACAAAGAGACTGAGACTCCCACACAATAGTAGTGGGAGACTTTTACATCACACTGTCAATATTAGTCAGATCAATGAGACAGAAAATTAACAAGGACATTCAGGACTTGAACTCAGCTTTGGACCAAGCAGAACTAATAGACATCTACAGAACTCTCCACCCCAAATCAACAGAATATACATTCTTCTCAGCACCACATCATGCTTATTCTAAAAATTGACCTCATACTTGAAAGTAAAACACTCCTCAGCAAATGCAAAAGAATGGAAATCATAGCAAACAGTCTCTCAGACTGCAGTGTAATCAAATTAGAACTCAGGATTAAGAAACTCCCTCAGAACCTCACAACTACATGGGAACTGAACAATGTGCTCCTGAATGACTACTGGGTAAATAATGAAATTAAGGCAGAAATAAAAAAGTTCTTTGAAACCAGTAAGAACAAAGACACCATGTACCAGAATCTCTGGGACACAGCTAAAGCAGTGTTTAGAGGGACATTTATAGCACTAAATGCCCATAGGAGAAAATGGGAAAGATCTAAAATTGACATGCTAACATCACAATTAAAAGAACTAGAGAAGCAAGAGCAAACAAATTCTAAAGCTAGCAGAAGACAAGAAATTGCTAAGATCAGAGCAGAACTAAAGGAGACAGAGACACAAAAAAACACATAAAAAAAATCAATGAATCCAGGAGCTGGTATTTTTTAAAAGACTAACAAAATAGATAGACCGCTAGCCAGATTAATAAAGAAGAAAAGAGAGAAGAATCAAATAGACACAATAAAAAATGAGAAAGGGGATATCACCACTGATCCCACAGAAACACAAACTACCATCAGAGAATACTATAAACACCTCTACACAAATAAATTAGAAAATGTAGAAGAAATGGATAAATTCCTGGACACATACAACCTCTCAAGACTAAACTAGGAAGAAATCGAATCCCTGAATAGACCAATTACAAGTTCTGAAATTGAGGCAATAATTAACAGCCTACCAACCAAAAAAAAAAAAGCCCAGGACCAGCTGGATTCACAGCTGAATTCTACCAGAGGTACAAAGAGGAGTTGGTACCATTCCTTCTGAAACTATTCCAAACAATAGAAAAAGAGGGACTCCTCCCTAACTCATTTTATGAGGCCAGCATCATCCTGATACCAAAACCCGGCACAGACACAACAAAAAAAAGAAAATTTCAGGCCAATATCCCTGATGAACATTGATGCAAAAATCCTCAATAAAATACTGGCAAATCGAATCCAGCAGCACATCAAAGAGCTTATCCAGCACGATCAAGTTGGCTTCATCCCTGGGATGCAAGGCTGGTTCAACATATACGAATCAATAAACATAATCCATCACATAAACAGAACAAATGACAAAAACCACATAATTATCTCAAAAGATGCAGAAAAGGCCATTAATAAAATTCAACACCGCTTCATGCTAAAAACTCTGAATAAACTAGATGTTGATGGAATGTATCTCAAAATAATAAGAGCTGTTTAGGACAAACCCACAGCCAATATCATACTGAATGGGCAAAAGCTTGAAAACTGGCACAAGATAAGGATGCCCTCTCTCACCACTCTTATTCAACACAGTATTGGAAGTTCTGGCAAGGACAATCAGACAAGAGAAAGAAATAAAGGGTATTCAATTAGGAAGAGAAGAAGCCAAATTGTCCCTGTTTGCAGATGACAGGATTGTATATTTAGAAAACCCCATCATCTCAGCCCCAAATCTCCTTAAGCTGATAAGCAACTTCAGCAAAGTCTCAGGATACAAAATCAATGTGCAAAAATCACAAGCATTCCTATATACCAATAATAGACAAACAAGAGCCAAATCATGAGTGAACTCCCATTCACAATTGCTACAAAAAAAAAAAATTCCTAGGATTCCAATTTACAAGTGATGTGAAGGACCTCTTCAAGGAGAACTACAAACCACTGTTCAAGGAAATAAGAGAGGACACAAACAAATGGAAAAACATTCCATGCTCAGGAATAGGAAGAATCAATATTGTGAAAATGGCCATACTGACCAAAGTAATTTATAGATTCAGTGCTATCCCCATCAAGCTACCATTGACTTTCTCCACAGAATTAGAAAGCAAACTACTTCAAATTTCATGTAGAACCATAAAAGAGCCTGTATAGTCAAGACAATCCTAAGCAAAAAGAACAAAGCTGGAGGCATCATGCTACCTGACTTCAAACTGTACTACAAGGCTACAGTGACCAACACAGCATGGTACTGATACCAAAATAGATATATAGACCAATGGAACAGTACAGAGGCCTCAGAAATAACACTACACATCTACAACCATCTGATCTTTGACAAACCTGAAAAAAAAAAGCAATGGGGAAAGGATTCCCTATTTAATAAATGGTGTTGGGAAGACTGGCTAGCCGTATGCAGACAACTGACACTGTACCCCTTCCTTACACCTTATACAAAAATTAACTCCAGATGGATTAAAGACATAAATGTAAGATCTAAACCGTAAAAACGCTAGAAGCAAACCTAGGCAATACCATTCAGGACATAGGCATGGGCAAAGACTTCATGACTAAAACACAAAAAGCAATGGCAACAAAAGTCAAAATTGACAAATGGCATCTAATTACACTAAAGAGCTTCTGCACAGCAAAAGAAACTATCATCAGAGTGAACAGGCAACCTACAGAATGGGAGAACAATTTTGCAATCTATCCATTTGACAAAGTTCTAATGTCCAGAATCTATAAGGAACTTAAACAAATTTACAAGAAAAAAAAAAAAAGAACTCCATCAAAAAGTGGACGAAGAAAATGAACAGACACTTCTCAAAAGAAGACATTTACATGGCCAACAAACACATGAAAAAAAGCTCATCATCACTCATCATTAGAGAGATGCAAATCAAAACCACAAGGAGATACATCTCATGCCAGTTAGAATGGCAATCATTAAAAAGTCAGGAAACAACAGATGCTAGAGAGGATGTGGAGAAATATAAATGCTTTTACACTGTTGGTGGGAGAGTATATTAGTTCAACCATTGTGGAAGACAGTGTGGCGATCGATCAAGGATCTAGAACCAGAACTACCATTTGACCCAGCAATCCTATTACTGGGTATATACCCAAATGATTATAAATCATTCTACTATAAAGATACATGAACATGTATGTTTATTGCAGCACTGTTCACAATAGCAAAGACTTGGAATCAACCCAATGTTCATCAGTGATAGACTGGATAAAGAAAATGTGGCACATACACACAATGGAATACTATGCAGCCATAAAGAAGGATGAGTTCCTGTCCCTTGCAGGGACATGGATGAAGCTGGAAACCATCATTCTCAGCAAACTAACACAGGAACAGAAAGCCAAACATTGCATGTTCTCACTCATAAGTGGGAATTGAACAATGAGAACACATGGATACAGGGAGGGGAACATCACACACTGGGGCCTGTCAGTGGGTGGGGGCTAGGGGAGGGATACCATTAGGAGAAATATCTAAAGTAGAATACAGGTTGATGGATGCAGCAAACCACCATGGCACGTGTATACCTATGTAACAAACCTGCACGCTCTGCACAGGTATCCCAGAACTTAAAGTATAATAAAAAGAAAAAAAAAAGTAAGGGCTCTCCCAAATCCCACCTTCTACCTAAAGCTTACTTTAATAATGAAGAAATTAGTTATTTAATTTAAAAAACATGTATAGCCATCCTAGTGGGTGTGAATTGTATCTCACTGTGATTTTTGACTTGCTTTTACTTAATGATCAATGTTGTTAAATATATTTTCATGTACCTTCAGGGCACTTACACATATTTCTTCAAGAAATATCTATTTAAGTCTTTTTTCATTTTTTAAAATGAAATTGAGTTGTTTGTATTTCGGTTGTTGAGTATTTTATATATTCTGTACCCTTCTCAAATATGTAATTTGTAAATATTTTATCCCATTCTTTAAGTTGTCTTTTTACTTTCTTGATAATGTCTTTTGATGAACAAAGGTTTTTAGTTTTGACTAAGTCTCATTTTTCTGCTTTTTCTTTTGTTGCTTGTGTTTTTGATACCATATTTAAGAATCCATTGCCAAATTCAAGGTCATAAAGATTTACCCATATGTTTTGTTGTGAGATTTTTTTTGTTGGTTATAACTTTTTTATCTATGTCTTTGATCTATTTTGAGTTAATTTTTTTACATGGTATAAGGTAAAAAGGTCCAATTTCTTTTTTTTTTTTTTGCATACAGATATCCAGTTGTCCTAACATCATTTGTTAAACAGCCTATTCTTACCCTTATTGAATTACCTTGGCACCCCTGTCAAAAATCATTTGACCATAGACTTATGGCTTCACATCTGGACTGTCAGTCTATTCCATTGATCTGTATGTCTCTCCTAATGTAAGTACCACACTCTTTTGATTACTTTAGATTTATAGTACATTTTAAAACTGGGAAGTGTGAAGCTTCCAACTTTGTTTTGCATTTTCAAAATTAAGGTACACTTTTCCACTTCTGTGAGAAAGAAAAGAAGAAAGAAAGAAAGAAAAAGAGAGAGAGAGAAAAGCCTTGAGTTTTTAATAGGAATTGCATTGAATTTGGCATTGCTTTGGATAATATTGTCACCTTAACAAGGTGATACTTCATGATCTCAATATGTGTGCTTTGTGTGATTTTGCTATTTTATAATTATTGAAACTTATTTTGTGGCCTAACATATGATTACACTTAAAGAATGTTCCATGCAGCCTTGAGAAGAATGTCTGTTCCGCTATTGATGAATTGAATGCTCTGCATATGTCTTTTATATCTGGTTGGTTTATAGAGCTGTTAAACTCCTTAACATTTTATTGACTTTCAGTGTAAATGTTCATTTATTATGGTACATGGGATATTAAATCCACAACTATTATTGTAGAAGTGTCTAATTCTCACTTCAATTTTGTTGGTTTGAGCATTATATATTTTAGGGTTCTGTTGTTAGGTGCATATATGGTTATAACTGTTACATCCTGTAGGTGAATTGACCATGTTATTAGTACATAATGTCCTTCTTTTTCTGTTGTTACAATTTTTTATGTCTAATTTGTCCGCTATTAGTATAGCCACCCCAGATTTCTTTTTGAATGTATTATGTTTTCCATCCTTTCACTTTGCCTTGTCAAATATTTGGTCTTTTGTAAAGAGCGTATAGTTGGATGATTTTTATGTACTCTCCCAATCTCTGACTTTTAATTGGAGAGCTTAAGCCATTTACATTTTACAATTCTACCAGATACAGTGGCACACGCATGTAATTTCACATATTTGGGAGGCTAAGGCAGGAGGATCACTTGAAGTCAAAAGTTTGAGACCAGCCTAGGCAACAGAGTGAGACTCCATCTCCTAATAAATAAATAAATAAATAAATAGTAATTATTGATAAAGGAGAAGTTACTTTTGTCTGTTTGCTATTTGTTGCTATGTATCTTATGCCTTTTTTATACCTGTATTCCTATATTTCTCCATCTCGGTATTTCCCTGTAATTAAATTTTAGTGCATCACTTTTATTTCTATATAAATTTCTTTTTTAGTGTTTTGTTAGTAATTAACATAGATATTGCAATGAACATACAAGTTTATAACAATCGCGTTTGAAATGATTTGAATCATTTCAATATTATGCAAAAATTCTGCTCCTTAACAGCTTCATCTATCCCCTCCTTATGTTTTCATTATACCAGTTATATATTTATACATTGTATTCCCTTTATCACAGGTTAATAATGATTATTTTTTGCTGTTATCTATAAATCCTGTAGGGAAAAAAAGAAGATATAAAAAAACGCAAAAGCACTGGCTTTTATTTAGATCTTTAGCTATTTTTTCTGATGCTTTTTATTTTTTCATATCGCTTTGAGTTTGTATTAAATATCTTTTTATTTCAACCTAATGGAGTTTTTTTTAACATTTCTTGTTGTGTGAGTATACTAGTAATGAATGCCTTATTTATTTTTTAATAAGGGACTATCTTAATTTTTATTCATTTTAAAAGGATAGTTTGGTAGATATAGAATTCTTAGTTGACAGGTTTCTCTTTTTCTTTTAGTACTTTAAATATATGATCCCATTGCCAACTGGCTTCTATGGTTTCAAAAAAGAAATTAGTTGTTAATCTTATTGAGGATTTCTGTATATAACAATTGCTTCTGTCTTGCTACTTCCAAGAATTTATCTTTGTCTTCATTTTTGGCAAGTTGATTATAATTTTTGAATATTTCTGAGTTCATCTTGTATATAGCTCATTAGGCTTTTTGGATTGTGTATTCATGTCTGTTAAATTTCTGGGCAACACTTTTTCAAAGATTATTTTTTCCCCTTTTTCTCTCTCGTCTCCCTCTGAGATTCTCATCAAGAGTGTGTTCATATGCTTTATGGTGTCTCATATGTCTCTTAAGCTCTATTTTTCTCCTTCTTTTCACTTTCTGCTTCTCAGACTGAATAATCTTAATTGACTTCTCCTTGTGTTCACTGATTCTTCCTTCCTTCTCCTGTCTCAAATTTGATATGAACCATTCTAGTAAATGTTTAATTAGAGTTATTATACTTTTCAGCACCAGAATTTCTATTTGGTCCCTTTTTTGCTGTTTTTATATCTTTGTTGATATCCTCTGTTTGGTGAGATATTGTTCTTCTAGTTTCTATTCATTCTTTGTGCATGGTTTGCTATGGCAACTATAGAAATAATATTCTTTCCACCCCCTAGGTTTGTGTTCCTGTTCTACAGGAGTTGTTATTTGTTAATGACTACCCTACACTGTTCTTCTAAAGTGTATGTTCCATGTCATATATGGTGTTTTGACAATGTTTTCTTAACTACCTGGAGCCAAGAAAAGAAAAAACAAACAGATAACCTGTCCAAGCCATTGTAGATTGCCTCTGTATTAGGGTAATTCTTCAAGGGTTAGTCAAAGCATTTACAACTGTGCCTTAACCTTTGCTTTTTGCCTGTGTTGAGCCTGAATGTCAGCCAGAGGTGAAATCTTAAGGTCTTCTTAGTCCTTTTTTGAGCATTCATCCATCCATGAGAATGGCCTTGGCATTCTTGATTCTCCACTGTAGACAGGAACCTTTTATAAAGCCCTCATTCCCCTACATATTTTGTTTCCCAGCCCCTTCTTTTGCTGGCTTTTTGGTCTGCATACTGCTTGTTCTAATTGTTCTCCCTTACCACAGGCTGCTGAAAGCCAATACTTTAACCTTAAATGTTTCACTAAAAGCTTCCCAAGGGATTGCCCCCTGTCCTAGGAAGTCTCTCAGTTAGGCAAAACCAACATATGTCCTTGTGTAAGTTTTTAAGGGAGCCACAGACAGGTTGCAGTACACAACTTTTAGAACATTTTTTTAAGAATAAGGGCTATATTGCTATTTGTGGCACTTGTAACCTGCACCAGGAATTCACACTGCCATTTATATGACTCTTGATATTCTGCGGAGTGGGAGTGTGGTAGGTGGGTAATTTAAAATGCCACAAGGTTCTCTTACTATAATGCAGCCACTTACTTCTTTACTAAATTTTCCCCTGATTATTCTAAGTTTTAACTACATTTCAGGGTTCTGCAAAAGTTAATTCTGACAGTTTTTTTCCATCTTTTAGTTGTCTTTCTGAATGGGTGGAGACCTGGAGCTCCCTACTTCACCATATTTGTTAAATTCACCATGTTTTATAGCCCATGCTGGAAGTAATCCATGTTTGTGCTCAATTTGAGCAGAAGAGGAGGCCATGTTGAGTGTTAAATATTGAGGAGCGTGTTACTTCTGGAGCAATTTCTTTTACTTCCAGAATAAAATGAATTTCTGATCTTACATCCATTTCAATTAGATCTCACTATGCTGACTTATGGAAACTCAGCAGCCCTGATCCAAGGAGAAAAAAACCCAACTGTTGACTGAACTTAGAGTTACTTTTGTATTGGTCTTGGCTGCACATCCCTCTGTGTCTCATCTTTGCCCCTCCTTCTTCCTTTAATATGATGTTTGATAAAATGTGTCCTTTAACATTTTAGAGATCTCTGACAAAGAGTCTTTGAGGAGGATCTGGGACCCATTATATAGTCTTTTATTCTTAACAGCCATTTATTCAATGTTTACAGTAACTTAATACCTGCTTTATGTCTGGACAAATCCAGAAACTGGAGAGATGAGGAGAAATAATGCCTGGCCCTGTCCTTACATAGCTCATAGGTAGCAACACTATAAGGGTTTCAGATCAAAATATAGGCATACTGATATAGTTTGGGTATTTGTCCCCTCTAAATCTCATGTTCAAATTTGATTCACCATGTTGGAGGGGTCCTGGTGAGAGGTGTTTGTGTTATGGGGGCGAATTCCTCATAAGAGGTTGGTGCCATCCTAGCAGTAACTAGTGAGTTCTTGCTCTAATAGTTCCCATGAGAACTGGTTGTTGAAGAGAGCCTGCCACCTCCTCCTCTCTCTCTTTTCCTTCTCTCTTGCCATTGATCCCTACTCTCCTTCATCTTCCATGATGAATGAAAACTTCCTGAGGTCCTCACCAGAAGCAAATACTGGTGCCGTGCTTCTTGTATAGACTGAAGAACCATGAACCCGATAAACTCTTTTCTTTATAAATTACCCAGTCTCAGGTATTTCTTAATAGCAATGCAAATGGGCTAAGGCACTTACTTTATTTTATTGTGCTTTGCTTCACTGCATATTGCAGATATTACCCTTTTTTTTTTTTTTACAAATTAAAAGTGAGTGGCAACCCTGTGTCAAGAAAGTTCATCGGTGCCATTTTTTTTCCAGCAGGATGTGCTCAAATCATGTCTCTGTGTCACATTTTGGCAATTCTTGAAAGATTTCAAATTTCATTATTATTATTATATATTTATGGTTAACTGTGATCAATGATCTTTGATGTGTAGCTACTGTAATTGTTTCTAGGTACCACAAACTGTACCCATGTAAGATGGCAAACTTAATTGATAAATTTGTGTGTTCTGACTGTTCCACCAATTGGCCAGTGCCCCATTTCTCTCCTTCTCTTCAAACCTCCATATTCTCTGAGACACAACAATATTGAAATCAGTCTTATTAGTAACCCTAAAGTGGCCTCAAAGTGTTGAAGTAAAAGGAAGAGTTTCATGTCACTCACTTTAAATCAAGTCAGAAATAATCAAGCTTAGTAAAGAGAGGCATATTGAAAGCCAAGATGGGTTGAAAGCTAGCCGTCTTGTGCCAGTTGGCCAGGTTACTAGTGTGAGGGAAAAGTTCTTTAAGAAAACGAAAAGTGCTACTCCAGTGAACACAGGAAAGTGAAACAGCATTTTTGCTGAGATGGAAAAAGGTTTAGTGGTCTCGATATAATATCAGACCAGCCACTACGCTCTGGTAAGTCAAAGTATAATCCAGAGCAAGGCCCTACCTCTCTTCAATATTATGAAGGCTGAGAGGGGTGAGGAAGCTGCAGAAGAAAAGTTAGAAGCCAGCACATGTTGGTTCATGAGGCTTAACGTGTCTATCTCCATAATATAAAAGTGGAAGGTGAAGCAGCAAGTTCTGTTGGAGAAGCTGCAGTAAGTTATCCAGAAGGTATAGCTAAGATAACTACACTAAACAACAGATTTTCAATGCAGAAAAATCAGCATTATATTAGAAGAAGATACCATCTAGGACCTTCATAGCCAGAGAGGTCAATGCCTGTCTTTAAAGCTTCAAAGAACAGGCTGACTCTCTTACGAGGGACTAATGTAGCTGGTGAGTTTAAGTGGAAGACAATGTTCACTGAGCATTCTGAAAATTTTAGGGCCTTTAAGAAGCATGCTAAATATATTTTGTCTGTGCTCTATAAATGAAACAACAAACCTTGGATGACAACACATCTGTTTACAATATACCAAATATTTTAAGCCCACTATTGAGATCTACTGCTCAGAAAACAGATTCCTTTCAAAATATTTCTGCTTGCTGACAATGCATCTAGTCATCTGGGGCTCTGATGAAGATGTATAAGGAGATTAATGTTTTTATGTTAACACAACATCCACTTGCAGCCCATGGATCAAGGAGTAATTATGACTTTTAAGTCTTATTGTTTCAGCAATACATTTTGTAAGGTGATAGGTTCCATAGATAGTGATTCCTCTGATAGGTCTGAGTAAACTGAATTGAAAACTTTCTGAAAAGAATTCAACATTCTGGATGCCGTTAAGAACATTTTGTTATTCGTGGGTTGATGTTAAAATATCAACAGTAGCAGAAATGTACAAGAAGCTGATTCTGACCCTCATGGATGACTTTGAGGTGTTCAAGACTTCAATGGAAGAAGTAATTGCAGATGTGGTGGAAACAACAAGAGAACTACGGTTAGAAGTAGAGCCTGAAGATGTGACTGAATTGCTGCAATCTCAGGATGAAACTTGAATGAATGAGGAGTTGCTTCTTAGGGATAGGCAAAGAAAGTTTCTTGAGATAGAGTCTACTCGTAGTGAAGATGCTGTGAACATTGTTAAAATGGCAACAAAAGGTTTAGAATATTCCATAAACTTAGCTGATAAATCAGTGGCAGGGTTTGAGAGGATTGACTCCAACTGTGAAACAACTTCTACTGAGGGTAAAATGCTATCAATTTAGTCAATTGATGTGGCAAACTTAATTATTGTGTTTTTTTAAGAAATTGTTACAGCTACCTCAGTCTTCAACAGCCATGACCAGATCTGAGCAGTCAGTAGTCATCAACATCAAGGCAAAACCTCACTAGCAAAAAGATTTTGACTTGCTGAAGCCTTGGATAATTGTTAGCATTTTTTGTGTGTGTGTGTAGAGACAGGATTGCTATGTTGCTAGGCTGGTCTTGAACTCCTGGCCTCAAGAGATCCACTCACCTCAGCTTCCAAAGTACTGGAGTAGAGGTGTAAGCCACTGTGCCCAGCTATAGTTGTTAACATTTTTTAGCAATAAAGTAGTGACAAATTAAGATATGTACATTGCTTTGCTTGCACAGTTAACTATCATCTAGAGTAAACATAACTTTATATGCCCTGAGAAACCAAACAATTTCTGTGACTCACTTTATTGTGATAGGTACTTTATCGCAGTGGTCTGGAACTGAACCCTCAATATATCTGAAGTATTCCTGTTTTCTATTATTATGTAATTGTTGGGAAGGGATACACACTAAAAGGAAGTGATACACACTAAAAGGAAGTGATACACTATAAACCTATAGCCATGACTTTTATTTGTTAGCAAGAGAGTTTTAACAATTTAAGCAGAATACAATTTCTGTCTTCCCTCAATAAACTCATGGAATAATTTTTTCATTCGTGGGCGTATTTTCCAAGTAAAAGACAACTCTGAAACCCAAATGGATACCTAAAACTCAGAGCAGCTGTGTTACAGTGATTTACCAGACCTGTTTACCCCATGTCTACAAGAAAACCAATTGTGATAAATGAAATCCACTTGGGGAGGTGCAGCTCAAAAAACAAAGTAGTGTTTTTAGCCAAGATTGAAGAAACACTGGATTTGTTCTCTGATATTGTTTGAAGATTTGCCCCCTCCAAATTGCAGGTCAAAATTGGATTCCCAAGTTGGAGGTTGATTCTGGTGGCAGGTGTTTTGGTTATGGGGGTGAATCCCTCATGAAAGGCTTGGTGCTGTCCTGAGGTTAGTGAGAGTTCTTGCTCTATTAGTTCCTATGAGATCTGATTGTTAAAAAGGGCCTGGCACCGCCCTTCTCTCTCTGTTGCTTCCTTCTCTTGCCATGTAATCCCTGCTCCTCTTTGCTTCCCACCATGATTAGAAGCTTCTGGAGGTCCCTCACCAAAAGCAGATGGTGGTGCCATACTTTTTGTACAATCTGCAGAACCATAAGCCAAATAAACCTATATTCTTAATAAATTACCCTGCCTCAGGTATTCATTTATAGAATGCAAAATGGACATAAGAGTGTGGCATTCTTCTTACATAGACAAGTAGAAACTGGACAAAACCTAAAAAAAAAAAAAAAAAAAGGTATCACAGGACAGTAATATTTGAGTAAAAAGAAACAAATGAGGTGAGATCTATAATTGCCTGAGCCTGAGCTACTTTCTACAGAAAGGTTTTCCAGTGGGAAGGCAGGAGAGTTCAGTCATAGAACTGTGGTCTCACTGGGTTGAGGATAAAGAGATGAGTTTTTTGAGCTGAGGCAGCTAGAATTTCCAGGGTAACTACCATGGAGCAAGAAGATACACAGAGATAAAGAAACAGAAAGTTTCATAGGTTTTTCTTTGGTCTGTGTCTGTGTATATGTGGAGTAATTTTCCCCACCCCTAGGGCCAGATGAAGAATGACCGAAGACATGTAAGCAAAGCAATTATCAGAACTCAGAAAGGGATGATAAATTTTCCAGTTCCATCCAACTACTCTCATTGAATTTTCAGCACATTCAATAAATAACCCAGTAAGGAACCTCACTAGTAGGACTAAACTATTTTAAAATAAGCCTTGAAGAGAAATGTTTAACATCTTTCTAAAACATTTTATTGAACACAATTCACATACAGTATATTTCACAAATTTAGATTGTGCAACTTGGAAGTTTCTAAAAAATGCATAACATAGGATTACCATTTACCCAACAATTTCTACACCTGGATACACACTCAAGATGAATGAAGACACATGTCTGCACAAAATCTTGAACACAAGTTTTTATAGCAGCATTACTCATAAGGTCTAAAAAGTAAAAAATGTCCAAATGCCCTTAAGCTAATATTGTATAAACAAAATGTGGTGTGTTCATAGAATATTATTTGGTCACAAAAAGAAATAAAATACCAGTACATGTTATAACATAGACAATTCTTGAAAACAACAAGCTAAGTTAAAAAAAAATCCAATTATAAAGGAACACATATTGTAGGATTTCATTTATATAAAATGTCCAGAATAGGCAAATGTCTAGAGATAGAAGGTATTCCAGGGCTGTGGATAGGGAGGTGGGGAACGAAGAGTGACTACTAATTTGGAGAGTGATAAAAATATTATAAAAGTAGATTGTTGTGATGGTTGCATAATTCTATGAATATACTAGAAAACATGGAAACTTACACTCTAAATGGGTGAATTATATGCCAATTATCTCAACAGAGCTGTTTCTATTTTCCTATGAGTTTTAAAGGGCATAAAAAGTAGATACAATAACTGGTCCTATAATAGATGTTTGTAGACAAATAAATGAATTGTTAAACGAGGTTAGAAAAATTTAAATTGGCATTATTAAGAAAAAATATTGAATATTGACATGTAAACATGGAGAGAGAGACTGCTCCTCTCAAATAATAAAATAAAAATGATAACAACAACAACAAAAATGCAGATAATAAAAAAATATATACACTTTAATCTAATTTTGGCTAAATAAAATACCAAAAAAGAATTATGTATAAGTGTGTGTGTGTTTGTGTGTGTGTACACATAGGATCTAGAATGACATGCAAGAGTATACACTTAAAAATATGATGCTTTAATATTCTTATTTTGCTTTTCCTGTGTTTTTCAATTCTTTATACACACATTCATTGTGTAATAACTTTTTTTATTTTTGTATATTTTGTATATGTCAAACACATGCAAAAGTAGAGAGAATAGGGTCACAAATCTCCACATATCCACCACACTACTTCAACAATTATCAGTGCAGCCCATTCTATTGTATCTAAATCCCACCAACCTCCCCCCATATATTCCTTGGGTTATTTTAAGACAAATTAAAATGTTATTTTTATTTCAAAGATTATCATCAACTTGATACTTAATTAACTTTATATAAATGCATAGAAGTTCTATTAGAGTATAGAGCAAACTGTGATTGAGAATGCAGTAGGAGTGTGGTGGAGTGGGTGGATCTTTTATAATGAAAAAGTATTAATGTATTGCTTGTAGAATTTTTTAAATCATAAAAAATAATTAAAAAAAGAAAACATTCCTCTCTATGTAGTGGAGGGAGAAGTCTTTCCTTGTATTGCAAAAGGTCATGTAAAGTAATTGAAGGAGCAATGAGCTAGAAATCAAGACGCTTGGGTCCTATTTCTGAGTCATTGCTTGTAATTGCTTGTAACGATTAAGCATATCATTTACTCATTCCAATAATATCTTTGAGCATCTACTATATGATTGGCATTATCCTGATTGTTGGAGACAAACCAGAAGCTCATTTCTATATTCATCAGGAGTCTTTCAGTTGTAAGTAGAGGCCACTCCAACTCAAGCTAGCTAAACCTAAGATAAAATGTTAATGGCTTTCACAACCATGGAATCCAGGGATGGACCTGGCTTCAGGTGCACCTGGATTCAGGGTCTATAACGATTTCATCAGGTGTTGATCTTCCTACCTCTCCACCCCATCCTCAGCCCCAATTTCCTCTCTGTGGTCTTCCCTTTCATGCAAGCTTTCCCTGGGAACTCCATGATTATATCCTCATTGCATCAAGACCAAGTATTCTGGGTAATCCTTTTGCTCCTCTAGGTCCATTGTGATTCTATTTCAATATTGCCTTGCTTAAGACTCAATCAGTGTATGCAAAACACTGAGCACCGCAATAGCTGGCACGTTAACTACTAAATAAATGTGTTTTTCCCCCACCTTCTGTTAATATCTACAAAGTTGCATCCCTTATGCTTGCAAATAAAGTTGTTTCTTTCTTTGTTTTATTTCTTTTTTTTTTTTTAACTCATGTCTGTTGTTTTATCTAGGATATATATTCTGAGGCTGTAGTTTAGAAAATGTCCATGGCTCATTTACTCATCAAGGTATTCTGGGCTGGTTTCCAATTAATCATCATTGGATGCTTCCCCACAATAGCCATCAGGAATCTTGCATGAGGTTACTTTTCCAGTCCAACTCATGCTATTCACACCCAGCATTGGATGAGAGAATCTGTGCTTTTGTTTCCACAGTTAGCATTTCAGAAAAATAAAATCCATGATTTACACTTACCTTTTGCAGAACTACTTATAGCTTCCTTGTTATCCAATAAAAAATGCAGAAATAACAAGTTATCTCTTCTAGAGGAAGTGCATAGTTGCATGGTTCCTCTTTACCCTCTCTCTCCTTAGAGTCAGTGAGATATTCCAGAAAGAGCAGAACTTAAGAGTCAGCCAGAGGGATTAAAATCTCTCTCTCTCTTTTTTTTTTTTTTTTTTTTTTGAGACAGAGTCTCACTCTTGTCACCCAGGCTGGATTGTAGAGGTGCAATCTTGGCTTACTGCAACCTCTGCCTCCCAGGTTCAAGCAATTCTCCTGCCTCAGCCTCCCAAGTAGCTAGGATTACAGGCACCCGCCACCATGCCCAACCAATGTTTGTATTTTTAGTACAGATGGGGTTTAGCCATGTTGGCCAGGCTGGGCTTGAACTCCTGACCTCAGGTGATCCACCCACCTTGGCCTCCTAAAGTACTGGGATTACAGGCGTGAGCTACCGTGCCTAGCCTAAAATCTCTTTTATTGTCTATTAGTCAGGACTTCTTGGAAAGTCATTTGGCCCTTCTGAGCCTCAGTTCACAACTGAGGGCATTAGTGAGGGCAGTAATAGAACCTACCCCACAATGTATTTCGGAGGATTACGGGAAATATACTTTGTAAGCCTCTAACATAATGCCTGGGACAAAGCAGACACTTGGTAAACACAAGTCACCTTCCCTCCTCCAATGGCACAGCATTTTTAGATGTCTTTGAATAGGCTAACTTTACTTCTCATATGACAAGTATTTGTTTTACTTCATCTAGTCATCCAATACATTCCTTGAGCTTGTGAATCAAACTTTGTTTCTTTTTATTGCCCATGGAGCTTCACACAGTGTCTGTTCATGGAGAACAGCCCTAATAAATGATTTGTAGCTTCATAACGTATAATAACTTGGGTCAATACTCTTATTCCAAAACTATAGGTAAAAATATATTGATGATACCAACATCTGATAGTCCTATTGCATTTCAGACTGTGTAAAATGATATCCGTTTATTTTCTCATTTCCTATAACATTGTGAACATAAGTATGGCTCCTACCTTATTTTGCAAATGAGGAAATGGAGGTTTGTAAATGCTAAGAACTCACTGCAAAGTCATTCAGTTGGTGTGTGGTAGAGCTTTTCTCAAGTCCACATCTGGTCAACCAGCCCCTCTGACCCAACTCGACCATTGCATATCACCCACCTTCCAGATGAGTGCCTAGGATATTTGCATCTCTCAACGTGGTATAATCCTGGCAGAATAAAAAGTCCAGACTAAGCCATGAAGAGACTCCAAGAACCCATACTTCATGGTAAAACTGTACACCACCGTAGGAGTGGAGACACTCACAAAAGGCAAGCTAGGAAGAAATCCAGACTACAAGAATTCCTCTCCAGCCCTAGAGCATAGCCATCTATGCATAAATAGTTTTTTGCCCCAAGGCTCAATGGTACCCATTCCCAGCTCTGTTTCCTCCTTTGAGGATCCTATTCATGTTATGGCTCCCAGGTCTGGCCTAGATTATGTGTGGATATTTCATTTTGAGTTTCAGGTCTATGCCCCAGAGGGACTCTTCCTTCTCTGCCATCCTGCAACACTCTGATGCCTTAGGTCCTGCCTTGTCAGGTACTCTAGTCAAACCCAAAGTTGTCATGGGAAGCCAGGAAACACAGATTTTCTTATTTTAGGAATTTTTGGAACTTATTTCAGCATTTTAGGTTGTATGAATTAGGCTTGATGCTACTTTGCAAAAGAAAGGCAGGAAAGGGTATTCCTATGGAAGGAAAATATTTTATCTCCCCTTCCACTCTTGTGGTTTTTGTTTTTCTACCTTAACCCTTCAACCTTTCTCTTCTCAGTAGCAAATTGGGTCCGTTCAAGCCCAATCCAGTTGCAGGTAGGTTAAGTCAGATCTGAGGCTGCAAAACAAAAGTGGACATCAAAGTGTTCGGTGGAGATGATGGAACTTCCAGGTACAGAAGATACAAATTTAAAAGAAAGCAGGAAAACTGCACCTGGGGCCAACCCCCAGGAATGGATGTGGAAGCAAGAACATGAATCCAGATCATGTGGCTGGGGAATCAAGGAAGAGCTTATTATCCAGGGAGGCAGTGATGGAGAAACCCTATAGATGTGTGCAAAAGAAGTTAGACTAGAAAAGGTCTAGTCTTCCATTTAATACTCATGACTATTTGCTGCAACCTCCCATGTATTGTTTATTTTCCACCTCCAAATAAGTTATTTATTCTTATGCCCATTTTAAATACAGGAATTTTAGATTCAAGGAGGTTAGGTAATTTGTCCAATGTCCTAGTGCTAATGAGTGGCAAAGATTTAAAAGTAGGTTTGTTTGATTCCAGGACTCATGTTAATATGCCTGAGTTATTCAGGGGCTATACCTCAGAATTATCCCTAGAAGCTCAGATGATCTCCATACCTAATAAACTGATGAGGCAGGAAATTTCTGATTATTGCCCAGTCAGATTTATTTGCAGTGATACTATTGAAGTGACTAAGGTCCTGTATGGTCAGAGGAGATGGGCTGAAACTTGTAGAATTACACTCACCTGACCAAAGAGTTGCACCAGAGGTCTTGACCTGGGCTTAGATGTTTCCGTCAGGGTTGCTTGGGCCTAGCCAATAACCTCCATCCCCCTTATCCTCCCACTCTTTGGCATTTCCCTCTTCTTGCAAGCTTCCTCTCTCATGCTCCCATAACAGGTCTGCAGCAATTTGAGAAGGTTCATGTGCTTTCTGTGTCCCTCAAAGCTTATAGTTCCACAGGGCAAGTTCTAAAAATAAAATGATGCTATTCTGAAGTAGGAATGTTCATCTGCTCAGAGATAAGCTGTTGGGAAGCTCCGGGCAGTCACCGACACATTTTTAGAGACTTGCTTCTCTCTCTTATCAGCACTGGCATCTGCTTCCCTAACCTGGAAACACTGTTACCTGGCCTCGTAGCACTGCATGACTCATGCAGGCTCTCATAGCCTCCTTTTCATTAAAAATAAAATATGTATTAGTGAGAAAAAAAGCAGATAAGGCTTGAAGCGTCCCCAGAGTTATGGTGGTGCTTTGGGAGCCATCAGCAAATACTTTTGAGTGGAGGTTGTAGGGAAGGGAGGCTAAAAATTAGTCTGTAGATCCAGGGGCTGTGGGCAGATGTTATGTAGAAGAAGAATGGATCATAAGAGGACATTCTAACAGCCAGAAGTCTTTAGAAATGAAATGGACCACTTTGGGAGGCAGTGAGTCTCTTGTCAAGGGGGGTGAAGTTGGAAGAGCATGTAATGTTGTTAGGGAAGTGCTAGCTTCTGCAAAACCCAGTCTACAGGCAGGTTGAGTTGATGTCAGGCCTGCAGTATTAGGGGCATAGCTGGACACAGGTGAGGACGAGGCTCTGGGAAGTACTAGTTAGTGTGCTTGACTATGAAGAAAGCCATTAGCAAAATCATTTCATCTCCAGAGGGCCACTCCAATCTGCACTGGTGTTGGGAGGAGGATAGTAGTTCCCCAGCATCAGGAATCTGGGAAATGAGATTGGGCTCATCCAGCTTCTTAAGGAGCAGAAGAGCAAATGAAGCCAGCAGGACTTTTGATAGCACCTGAAGGAGTAGGGCCAACCTGGCATTCTCACTGAGTACAAGGTAGGAGCACAGATCCTGCAAAGGGGGCACTGAGGTACAGCTAGGAAGCCGGATTCTGGAGAACATGAATGGTGTGCCATAGACACATATGGTATTGGGGAGGTCGGGAGATGTGTCATGGGTGGGGAAAACCCCATTGCACAGGGCTCCTCCCATGGCAGGACGTTCTTCCAGGAGACCAAGAAGACATTGTCTAGAGAAGGGCTGTGTGAGTGTGCCCTCTATGGCAGGATGTGCTGCAGCTGACTTCAAAAAGGGGTTCAGTGATTACACTTTGCAGTGCCTTTAACTCAGAGACCACAGCATCCCATGGCCCAAGAGAATCTGGGAATCAGCCAGGACTGTGTTAAGTTTGCTTAGGGGTGTCAGTCCTTGGTCTAAAGCAGTGATTCTCAAAGTTTAGCGTGTGTCAGAGTAACTTGGGATGCTTTTTAAAACACAAATGGTTGGGCCACACCTCAGGTTTCTGATTCAGTATATCTGGATGGGGCTTGAGAATCTGTATTTATAATAAGTTCACAGGGAATGTCACTAGTCCAGTGACCACACTTTGAGCAGCACTGGTTTAGAGTAATGTTAAGTCTAGGGGCACCTGATAAAACAATCCTTGCTTACTTCCATATGTATTCAACATAGGGAGCATCCTCTTCGTTTCGATTATCGTAACAAGCAGTAGAGATATTCTAGTAAATGAGACACCATTCCTGATGTCAAGTGGCTTGTAGTCTAGACATACATGAATGGGCAGTTACAAGACAGGTTAAGTACTAAGGGGTCCTTACTGGGGACAGGGAGCATGTGAGGTCATGTGTGCTGAGACACACTGTCTTGGAGACACTAGAGAAAGTTTTCTGGACCATGCGACCTTGAGACCAGAAGCTGGCTTTAGGGACAGCAAACCATGAATCAACTCTTGGCTCTACCCTTCAGACCTGGTTGAACTTAAGTGGTTAATTAAGTTGCTTGAGTCTCAGATTCCTCATCAGTCAAATAATCCTGACTCATTTAGCCCCATGACCATGGGTATGTTCTAGGCATAAGGCCACAGAGTGAACACACATGATGTTCTCCAGAGAAACAGAACCAGTAGAACATATATAGATATGTAGAATGAGATGAATTATGAGAGATTGGCTTCATGATTACAGAGGCTGAAAAGTCCCAGGCAAACTAGAGTCCCAGGAAGGCCAGATTCTGAAGGCTCAAGAACCAGGAGTACTGATATGTGAAGGCAAGAGAAGATGGGCATCCCAGCTCAAGCAAAGAGCAGACACCCCCTTCTTCTGCCTTTTTGTTTTAATTGGGCCACCAACTGATTAAGTTATGCACACCCACATTGGTGGGTGTGGATCTTCTCTTCTTAGTCTACAGATTCTAATATTAATCTCTTCCAGAAACGTTTTCATAGACACACCCAAAGATAATGCTTTATCAGCTATCTGGATATCCCTTCACTCAGTCAAGTAAATTAACCATTGCACCTGACATGCTGTCTCTGTTCTCAAGTAGCTTACACTCTGCTAGTGGCAGTGGGATTGGAGACAGGACATTGCCCTGCAAACACATACATAAGATAAGCTGTAGCAAGCTAAAGACAGGGTTCTCATACAGGGAGTGATGAGAGAAGGTAGAAAATCTTAGGGAGGATTATTGGGAAAGGTTGCTCTGAGGAGGTAACATTTGATAACCGATAGTAAGCCATCAATCTGCTCATCATCAACTTCCTTATTGTCCTCACTATTATTATTATTGGAATGATTACAATTGCTATAATTCCAGGAAGGCAGCCACATGATCAAGGACCTGGAGAAGAGAGGTCTCCATATTTGGAAAAGGTCATAGGTCACTGAAGCACAAAGCATCAGGGAGATGTGACTGGCAGCCCAGTAACAGATCTTATGGGCCAAGCTGGGTCCAGGACTTTGTCCTAAGAAGCCACTGGGAAAATCTGAGTAGCAATGGGGCATGGTCGTACTTGTTGTTTTGGGGAAAGTGCCTGGGGAGGGGGAAAGTGAGTAAGACTGGGATTACGTCTGCACCAAGATAGAATGGTGGGGCTGGCCGTGACAGACAGCATGATTAACAATGAACAGAATGCAGCTGTCGATTGGATGTGGAGGGCAGAGGGGCCTTGGCAATGAAATAAGAGGACACGCCTCTCCTGACCTCCTGTTGAGCAGGAGAAAAACCTAGCAGAAGAAAGACCACTGAGGCAGGCTTAAGAGGATCTTCTTTGGGATGCTGGGTAGATGACATTGCCAGGCAATGTTCTTTTCTGTCAAATGGGATATTTTCCTGCCTCATGGAGAAGGGTATTCTGAGGAATGAATCAGATGACAGGTATGAAAAGCACTTTGGAAATTGTAAAACATTTTTCAAATGTGAGGTGCTATTTTTATTACCTTCGGTTTCCCTGTATAGAATGTGACCCAATAACTGAATGACAGCATCTGGCTGCTCCGGAGGGACTGGCAAAGGAGGAGATGGAAGGCCCCGGAGATGCACCTGCCTGGGGCTCTGCAGAAGGCCTGAGTGAGCCTCCCAGGTGACCACCCTTTCCAACAATGCCCTTAATGTGTCTCTCATTTAGGATTATTTGCTAGGCAAAGCTGTGTACATCATCAGAGAAAAGGCAGACAGCCTCGGATGATTCAGTGGGAATAATCCCCATCCATTCTAATGGGAGCAAAGATGATGATGACATCATTACCATATATTCTACCATCATCCAGCCGCACAAGGCAGCTGTCTCCTGGTGCACACAGGCGCTCCCAGCAGGAGCGTTCCCTGTACAGAGCATTAACAAGAACTTAAGATAAATTCCTCTTCACTGGGCTTTGGAAATAGAAGCCTATTTAGGGCTAGGCTGGGCACCCTGCACCGTGGCAGTCATTTTACTTATAGCTGATTAACTCCTTCTTTCCTTACCTCATTTTAGGCCTCCCTCCCATTTCAGTTTCCCCTCCTCCTCTTATGCCTCAGGTTTTCCCATCTCTTACTGTGTAATCTGAAAGAAATTCCTCAGGCATGTACCCTGATACATTTGGGGCCCATCAATTTACCAGTGGGCGCCTTCCGAGGGAGAGTCACCCTAGAGTGGTTTTCTGCAGTGGGTGCTGTGACTGAGAGTGGTGGGAAGCCTGCAGTCACACTCCTACCTGCTTCTTCCCCTTGGAGTAGGATTGTGCAGGTTGATGGGTGGCTCCTCTTGCCCTTGGAAGAAAGGTGCATTTGTATGTGTGTGCATGTGTGTGCATGTGTGTGCACTGTGGCCCTGCAAGGTCTGCTGAGCTTTCACCCCAGCTAAGCTTCTGTAGAACTTGTTCCAGCTCCAACAACTCACTGTACTGTGAGTCCCCTGAGGTTCCTGAGGAGTCTGCAAACACTGGGAAACTCATTTGCCATGAAGAAATTTATATCAAGACTCCTACAAGGGCCACAGCAAAATAGCTCAATCTCAAATTGCATAAACCATGATGGGTGTGTGAAGTGTCTTCCTTTCATCCCCCCTACTGACGAGGCTGTCCTTGCCCAGCCCCTTGGAGCTCAGCTCTCACCTTCTCTTAGACTGAATCCTTGAACCCTTGAGGAAGTTCCAGATCTCCGGACGTCTACCCAGGACTGGCTCCTCTATTCTCAGAACTGCTTTGCCCTTCTCTCAGTCCTCGGTTAGTTTAGGTTATTGCCTTTCTCCTTGGTTCATGCCCTTTCCTGACTAAGAGGGTGTTCATTCTAGGCTGGCCTGTTTCCTGCAGTAGGGGCCACTGTCCTTGATTTAGCCTCCGTATACAGCTGACATCTGCATTCATTCAATGAATGTTTACTGATTACTGATTACTGGGTGTACAAATGAAGATAAGACACAGTTCCTGCCCATAAGAAACCCACAATCTAATGGAGAGAGAGATATGCAAACAAATAAGTATGGTAGATTGTTTTAATCATCCTTTAAACTTTGGGGATGTTTGTATTTACTGATATCCACTCATCTCTGGAGAAGCCAGTGTGGAACAGACAATCTGATACTTAATTCCTGGGATCTCATATTCTTACTGATAGTGGCAGTAATATCACAACCCTTACCACTATCTCACAATGTCTATAGGCACAAGCTCAGTTTTACAGCTGAGGAAACTGAGGCAGAAAGCCTTTAAGTGACTTGCCCAAGGCTAGATATTTAGAGAGTGTCAGAGCTATACATCACATTTTTGTCTATTTGGCTCTAAAAGTTTCATTCTTTACCTTGCCCCAGCCTGCCTGTCTCTGATACCCTCCCCTTTTGGATTGGGACTTGCCTCCTACATGCAAAAGGGTGGAGAACAGCCCTTTTTTAGGTCATCAACATGCAAAACTATTTCACCTTCTGACATCAGGCCAGCATCAGACATGTGACAATGCCAAGGGAACATGTCCCCATTCAGAAGGTCATTAAAGGAAATGAAAGCCAACAGATCATTGTTAAGCATGAGGAAATGACATAAACGGGAAAATCTATGAACGTCGCCTTCATAAGGCTCTGGGAAATTTGAAGCAGAAACAAATGGACCAGACCAGAGTGTGAGAAGGTAATGCATCAACAATGGGAACCTGGGAACCATGGGGCCAAACTCAGAGGAAAAATGACCCATTAGGTTTAGCATGATTTGAAGTCTCTGGTGAAATAGTAAAAGGCAGCTTAACCACCTCCTCCTCAACTATAAGATCTATGGATCTGGGTTTTAACTTCTGGAAGATGAAGGAATCCTTAAGTCTATTCCTCTGGGCATACAAACAAAGGCTTGGTGGAATCTTCTGCAGGTGGATGAAATGGCAATGTCCCCACCAACTCGGTAGTGCTTGGAAAGCAGAACTTCTTCCACACTCCAAGGGTCTTGCTAAAGGTGGGAACTGGGAAACAAGGGCACCCTGAGAACCTCAGACACGGCATCCTCCATGATGCCTCTTAGAGCAAGGACTGTTGGAGAAGTCCCCGCACTTTCTGACAAAAAGACAGTTCCTAGTAGACCAAGGAATGATTTGATCACTGGGGTATATTTCACCATCATGCCAGTGATTTCATTCTGTGCTTACTTGGACATATTCTGAATTTATCCCAAACCCCAGCTTTCTTGGAAACTTGCTCTGCTTCTCCTCAGAAAAGCATCTCTCTCACACATATTTGACTAATCCCTTAGTGGCAATACAACCACCTCTCCATTATGCATCCACTGGGAAGTGTGAATTGTATACAAAACCAGTCAAATCTGGTTTTCTGCATCCAGCATCCACCTTCACTTTGTACAATAGCACTGTGATGTTCTGAGAGAAAGCTTCAGAAGAGATGTTTGTCCTCTTCATAGAATTCCATAAATTTTGGAAGAGAGGCTCTGGGCAGCTTCCATGAAATAGTATGATGCCATTCCTTTTTTTTTTTTTAAAAAGATGATAATAAGTGAGAGAAATTTTATTGGATGTGTAAGTGCACATACTGTGGGAAGTACTTTTTGTATATTATCTCGTATAATCCTCATAAATAAATCTATGAAGGAATCACAATTATACACATTTTATATATGCAGAGGCTGAGAGTCAAGAGGAGAGTTAGTGCAGAACCAGATAGTTGCATCCAGATGTCTCTGACTTCGAAGTCTACATTCTTGGACACTTTGCTCCTTGCTGCTTCATAGCCACTTTTGTTTGAGACTTACAAGGCAAATTAAGGAACAAAAGGCACAGAGCAGTACTCAGAAACCTATTTAATGTTGTTTAACCCTTTATTAAGCTCTGTCGTGTATTATTACCACAATCAGAAGGTTTATCTCTTCCTGACCCACTTGCTCAGAATGGAATAATTATATGCAGTGGAATTAGTAGCATTGATGTTGGTGTTGATGGTGGTGATGAAAATGATGCCGATTATGAAACGATTATTTGCTAGCTGCTTTCCATGCATTATCTCATTTGATCCTTACAATTATCCTGAAGAGTGAGCTTTGTCTTTATCCCTATTGAGTAGATAGGGACACTGGGCATTGAGAACTATCCTGCCTAAGGTCACACCACTAGAAAATGATAGACCAAGGATTTGAACCCAATCTGGCCTGGATTTTCAGCCCTCTGGATGGGGTCTGCATTTCTCCTAAACATTTGCAGGTTGTCTTCCCTCTGGGGGTGGCTATCTTCCAACCTAACAAAGCCACACCTGCCCTAGTAGCTCATTTCTAAAAGAGCCTGATGATTTTCTTTCAACATCTTAAACATACGAGAAAGAGCAGATCCCCTAGCCTGTCCTTCTGTCTTTTAGAATATGGAACATTGGAGCTTGTTGGAGCCTCGACTGTCAGCCAGAGAGCTCTCCCGTAGAAGCCTGGCAAGGAGAAGGCTGCCCCACAAGCCTCATCGTAGCAGCATGGGCATTGCTGTGTGTGGAACCCTGTAGACCAGCAGTAGATTAAGGCTCCAAGATACACGGATTTCAAAATTGAAGCAATAAAGCACATTTTTTCCTCAGCTTGCAATTGCCCCTTAATTGGACCATGAATAGCAATTACACTATAAAGCCTAACAGGAATTTGTGAGTAATTAGAGTATGTCTTGGGCGGTGGGTTTTAATGGAGGAATCCAGCTAATCATTGAGTGACTTTCATCGTCCACCAAGTGATAAAATCATCATGAAATGCCTATCAATCACTAGGAGAAATTGCAAGTGTGATTTTAATTCCTGCTAGAGTAGGACTGAGAAGGCTGGGAAACCTCACCCTGTCCAGAAGTTTCTGTCTGTGTCCTTGAAGAAGGGGGAGAAGCAGAAGCACAGTTGCTCCTGTGGTCTGAGAACTCAGTGTCCTGTCTGTAGCTGCTTTAGGTACATTGCTTATTTTGATCCTCAGAACGGCCCATGTGGAGCATATCTTTATGCCAATAGCACAGGCAAAAACACTAAAACTGAGTAATTTACCCACATCTATAAAGCTAGGAAGTTACAGATCCAGAATTTAAATCCAGGTGTTTCAACCTCCAAAGTGCATGACCTTTCAACTCTACTATAATCATTCAACATTTGTTGAACAGCTACTATTGGACAAAAGCTTTTCATATATCATGCTATTTCACGCTTTCCTTTTTTTAAAAAAATTTCCTTTTAGAGACAGGGTCTCATTCCATTGCCCAAGCTGGAGTGCAGTGGCATGATCATGGCTCACTACAGCCTCAAACTCTGGGCTCAAGAAATGCTCCTTCCTCAGCCTTCCAAGCAGCTGGAACTATAGATGTGCCCCACCATGCCTAGCTAATTTTTAAATTTTTTGTAGACATACAGTCTCGCTATGTCTCCCAAGCTGATCTCAAACTCCTGGGCTCAAACAATCCTCCTGCCTTGGCCTCCCAAATTACTGGGATTACAGGTGTGAGTCACCATGCACAGTCCTACTCAATACTTTCAATGGCTATGTAAGGTAGGTACTTTTTTTAAATCACATTTATGAGTGAAAACACAGAACTAGGATAGAAGTGATAGTTCTCATGTTAGACTATCATCTTCTTTCACCTTTCTTATCATGCACGTGTACACGCACGTATGCACACACTTCTTCCATCCCTGAATACATTTTCCAGTAGTGGAGGCCACATGTCTTTGTGCTCTCTCAAGATCAGGCCATTAGATAAAGATAAGAGAGATGGTCTGAAAAGCACCACCACGTGAATGGAGAAATGACACAAGGAAGGATGTCAGTCAACAAAGGATGAGTTAGCAAACCAGCTACTAATATCAGAGTCAGGGGACTGGGGCCTCAGGAAAACTAAAAAAAATAGGAACCCTCATCAGCATTACCTCACAGAAGGACAACAGTGTGGGTATTCATCTACCAACTTCATCAGTCATAACTGAGGAGTCCTGGAGGTGGGCAAGTCAATTCTCCTGTGCTTGTGACAATGAGTTCCAGAGCAAGCAAAGGCCCTCAGCTAAAGAATTTAGGCACTGAGAAGTGGTAAGGATGGGGTGGAGTACCAGTCCACATGCAAAGAAACAAACTGACCTTCTACAAGTCAAGACGTAAAGAGGAGTCAACAGGAAGCACAGCTTTGGAATAAGACAGATCTGGCTAGACATGCTTGCTGGGCCATTTGCTGGCTCTGATGGACTTGGGCTAACTTGCTAACCTTCTTTAAGTGTAGGTGAACTCACCGGTGAGCCAGGGAAACTGACATCACATATCACAGGGGGATGTCAGGGGGACATCACACATCACAGGGGAATTAGAAGACTCTAGGGGATAACATCTGTCAGATCTCAACACTGCACTTACCTGTCATGCAGTTGCTGCTCAGGATATACTAATTCACCTGCCCCTCGAAAACTGCCTTAAAACCAATGATAAGAGGTGGTTTCTGTTCTAGTCAAAGCCTCAAGTAATTCTTCGTTTGTAGACCCTAAATCAGTAAATATAATTTGGGGATTCATGGATTCCTTTGAAAATCAATTGAAATCTACTAGCTCCCATTCCAGAAATACACACATAAGGCATTTCTTGCAGAAACAGAAGAGGTACTTCCACGATTATCTGGGGGAATCAATGTGTAATGTGTAATTAGAAGTATGTTTAGTGAATTTGCTCTATCTTGCCTGCTGTGAGAATTCTCCAAAGTTGTAATGCTGGCAGTGATGTAAGCCTGTGTGGACCTTGGAAAAGAACCATTCTGAATGGCAAATGAGAGTGGCTGAGGGCCAGTTAGGACCCTTTTCCTGTATCATGGTTCCCAGGAGCATGCGGACCACATGCTTCAACGGGACAAAAGTATTTGTAAATCATCTGCTCAGTTCAGCTTTGGGCCATTGGTTTCCCTTCATGACAGCATCCTTCCAGAAAATGATTTAGGTCACGCTCAAGGATAAATGCTGACTAGTTTATTTTCAGCTCTCTGGTATAAGAAAAGAAGTGATGGAAAATAGAAGCCAAGATTGGAATTTCTTAATACTATGGTCTGACTGTTTGTATACCCCTCAAATTTAGACGTTGAGATCTTCAGCTCCAAGGTGATGGTATTAGGAAGTGTGGCCCTTGGGTGGCGCTATGATTTGAATGTGTCCTTTCCAAAACTCATGTGTTGAAACTTAATCCTCATCGTGGTGGTATTAAGAGGTGGGGTCTATAAGAGGTGATTAGGCCATGAGGGCTATGCCCTCATGAATGGATAATTGTCTTATAAAAAGGGTTCAAGGGGGCAAGTTTGCTACTGCTGCTCTTCCACCATGTGAGGACGCTGTGTTCACTCCTTTTTGCCCTTCTGCTTTTTGCCATATGAGGCTTCTACCAAGAGAAGGACCTTACCAGACATCAAATCTTCCCACACCTTGATATTGGACTTCTTGGTCTCCAGAATTATGAGAAATAAATTTCTGTTCTTTATAAATTACCCAGTCTCTTTATAACTTAAACAGACTCACAGTGATTAGGTGATGGGGAAGAACCTTCAAGAATGGGATGAGTGCCCTTATAAAAGATTCCTGAGAAAGACTTCTCACCCCTTCCACTGTGTGAGGACACAGCAAGAAGGCACTTTCTGTAAGCCAAAAAGTGGACCATCTCCAGACACCAAATCTGCCTTGATCTCAGACTCCCCAGGCTGTAGAACTTTGAGGAATGAATGTCTATTGTTTATAAGATACCAGTCTGTTGTATTTTGTTATAGCAGCCCAAATGGGCTAGGACACTTAACCTAGCTAAGAGGTGTCAGTCTTCCATGACTAAGACACTTAACCTGGCTAAGAAATGTCCAATCATTCCAGCAATGAATGTCTGTTGTTTATAAGATACCAGTCTATTGTATTTTGTCACAGCAGCCCAAATGCACTAAGACACTTAACTTGGCTAAGAGGTGTCCGTCTTCCATGAAAAAGAAACTAATCTGCTAACATCTTGAATCTAAGTCTTGGCTTGTTCCTTTGTGGAAAATAAACCTCCACATAGGGGTGATATAATATGCACTACCTTTTTACAATTGAAGTCCTATATATTGCTTGCAGGGTTATATCTACACCAAGCAGCATAGGTTATAACTACACAGCACTGGGACTCATAACTTACTTTACATTGCCTTGTGTCCTCATTTTTCTTCTCCCTTTATTCCCTCCTACAATATTCCAAGACACAGAGACCTCCTCTGCACCTTCAGAAGAGTAGCCTTCTTATTTTTACTTTGTGCCATGTAACAATAGACTTTGTTCTGCTAGGACTCTGAGTGATCAAAGAGGGACCACTTAGCCATAAGTTTACCTCAGAGCAATCCCCCTGCTCGGCTCCCTTTCCATGGAAGAAGAACCTGCTGCCATCTGTATGGTGACAAGAGAAAGTGGCTAAGGGACTGTTTAAGTCACTATATAAGAACTTATTCTGCCTTCAGAGATTAAAAAAGAGCCACATTTCATGTCTTTTCTACATCTTCCCAGTTTCTCTCTTACTTTTCTTTGTCCTCAGTAAAGTATACAGTTATCAACAAGCTTCGCAAATGTCATGCAACAAGGGAACACACAAAAGGCACAAGAGTGACAGAAAAATAGCAAGAACTTCATGCCCCCCTTACAGCCCCCACTGTCCCCATCTGCTCCCTGGAGGTCAGCATGTTGTGGAGCTATAAGAACATAGTCTTGGGAACCAGAGAGATTTGGGTCAGAGAGCTGAGCCTCAACTTAAGTGCTGCGGAACCTGGACAAACCCTTTTCTAAGTGTATGTTTCTTCATTAGCAAAGTGACTACACTCACATCTGTCCAGATTGTTGTGAAAATTGCGTGAAATAATATATGTGAAATTTGGGATGTATTATTGGTGCCCAAGAGATGTGAGGTCTCTTGCCCTACCTCACAGCGTTCTGGGAAGTCTATATTATCTTTTTCATACCACATTCCTATGAATCCCCTAGAAGCAGAAAAACACATTTTGTTAAAGGATGTAGGACTATAGGAAACACACCTGGTCTCCTTACACCTTGGTGTGACCTTATGATAGGGTTGTCAGGTAAAACACAGGACATCCAGTTTAATATGTTTTTAGTTAAGTGTTTCCAAATATTGAATAGAATGGACTTGCATTATTAAAAGCTGTGTTGTTCATCTGAACTTCAAATTTAACTAAATGGTCTGTATTTTTATTTACTAAGTCAGGCAACCTATGTGTTCGTGTATCTCAGTGCTCCAAGTTTCTTTGCCAGGTTGAGGAATAGAAGAGCTCAAGGGCACCATCCAAATTAGGTTGACCTAATTTGGATCCCAAGGCCTGATGACTGTCCTGAGTAATCTTAATCATGTTTTAGGCAACTTTGGAAACATATTAACAAGCTTCAGGCAAGCAGGCACAAATATCCTTTTATGATATGTAGATTTGCCAAAAGCAATGCAATAGTAAAATAAAAACAGTGCAGCTAGAACCACATAAATAAACTATGCTAACTCTTCATTCAGAGACACCAATCTATAAAGGAAATTTATAGATTGTTATAAGAGTACAGAGATATACTTTTATGTCATGTAGATTAGCCAGCAGCAATATAAAAGCAAAATGAATACAGAGTGGCTAGAACCTATAGAAGGCTTCTTACTTCTATATACGAGAGCGTTAATCTCTGAAGGAAATTTTAATTTTTTTGTTTGTTTTAAGAGTCTTTGTCTCTGTTAACATAAGGGAGTGGAGAAGAAAACTTCCCAAAGGACAGATAAGAGCTGTCCAAATAGACAATCAAATGTGTCCCAAATGTTTGATTTGTGGCTGCTCTCCTTTTGGAGGAAGGTGGTTCTTTAGAGAGAGATAAAAACAAATAGACATTTAGAAGGATATCTAATGGGAAAATCTGAGAACATAGACCGGACACCACACTCTAGATTATTTTAAAGCATCTCCAAGTTTGCTCTTCCCTTGTTTCAGATCTACTGTGGTGTGACAACCCTCCCTCTGTGCCTCCCCGAATGGCTTAAAAACAATAATCACCATTTATTATCTCTCACAATTCTAAAGCACGCTTGGGTTTAACGTGGGGGGTGCTTCTGCTCCTCATTTTGGTTGGCTGTGACTGCAATCATCTGCAGGCTAGAATCACTCAAATGGCTGATTTTGGTAGCATTGTTTGCTGGGAGCTCAGCTGGGCTGTCAACTAGGGAGCATGGTTGTCATTGACCTGAACTCTCCATATTGCTTGAGTTTCTCTCTGTGTAGCAACTGGGCTCTGAGAGAGTGTTTTTAGTGCACAAAAACTGCATATTCCTGAAGGTCTAGATTTATAAGTTATGCAGGGTCTCTTCCACCATATTCTTTTAGTCAAAGTAGATCAAAAGGCCACCCCACATTCAAAAGGAGGGGAATATGGCTCACCTTTAGATGAGAAGAGTGGAGAAAACAAAGAAGTTAAGACCATCTTTAATTATTCACAGTTCCCCCTTTGGCCACAAATTACTTATGCTTCTTCCAAAGGAAAACATACTCCCCCACACCCTAAAAAAACACAAAAATTGTTTCCAATTATGACATCAGATTTAGGCTTGAAGGCCAGGATCTTTTCATTCATTCAGGTCCAAGAGCTTATGAGAAACTGACCCTGAGGTGTCTTTCCATGGGAGTAGATCCTTTAGTATGTTTTTTCTTTATCTGTTGGCCTTTGAATTAAAGAGACATAACCGAACATACAATGATGGGGCAAGTATATGACAACTGCGACAGCAACTCATGTTCAAAGGGAGGCACATAAACACCACTGCTCCACGGCCATTCTAGACTGCGGCTGCAACTGGGCATTTGTCTTTCCCTTCCTTCCCTCCCTCCGTCTCTGTTTCTTTCTTTCTTTCTTTCTTTCTTTCTTTCTTTCTTTCTTTCTTTCTTTCTTTCTTTCTTTCTTTCTTTCTTTCAGACAGGGCCTCCCTCTGTCGACCAGGCTGGAGTGCAGTAGTGCAATCTCAGCTCACCACAACCTCCACCTCCTGGGCTCAGGTGATCCTCTCACTTCAGCCACCCGAGTAGCTGGAACTACAGTCATGCACCACCATTCCCAGCTAATTTGTATATATTTTGTAGAGAGAGGGTTTCACCATGTTGCCCAGGCTGGTCTTGAACTCCTGAGGTCAAGTGATCCACCTGCCTTGGCCTCCAAAAATGCTGAGATTACAGGTGTGAGCCACTGTGCCCAGCCACTGGGCATGTGTCTTAAGTCCCCCTACTCTGGGGACGGGAGATGTGTAGTGATTAGAATTCAGTCTTGCTCCCTGGTGATGGTTCTCCTTAGATCTTAGCTTTGTTGACTTGGCCCTCCATTTCTCTGAATCATCTCTTCTGTATTGACTATGTTTTATTATTTACTGTATTCTTGAAAGTCTGGCATCTGGGGATTCAGTCCTGGAGAAACTGCTCCTCCCACAGCAAGGTAATTTCTAGCGACTGCAAATAACTTCCCTGGGAACATGCCTTTGATATACGAACCAACCAGCCATCTTTTTTATCAAACTCTCACACACCAGGCCAACATTCCCCCTGCCACAAATCATCCCAGAACTACATCACAGACAACAAGGAACCACCCATGCAGCCCAGAGTCTGCCTGAATTTATTCAAGCTATCAAATCTTGAGCTTATTTAATGTAACTACCCTGTCTCCTCTGTTCCTTCCTGCAAAAACCCCCCAAAAAGGTTATGGGCCATGTTCCCCATCCTGTCCTTCTCTAACCTCCTGACTGTCCCTGATGCTTCTCTACGTGGCCCTGCATGACATGCCATGCCTCCTGTCTCTAGGAATCTGTGAGTATAAACCTCTTCCTTCATGACGATCATTCCTGTGTCTGCTGTCTTACCATACCCGAGTAAAACAAATTCTGGGAACATTTGAATACATTTCCTTTTACCTAAGAAATAGTTCATGTTGGCCAGGCACAGTGGCTCACGCCTGTAATCCCAGCACTTTGGGGGGCCAAGGCAGGTGGATCACAAGGTCAGGAGTTCAAGGCCAGCCTGGCCAAGATGTTGAAACCCCATCTCTACTAAAAATACAAAAATTAGCTGGGCACGGTGGCAGGAGCCTGTAATCCCAGCTACTCAGGAGGCTGAGGCAGGAGAATCGCTTGAACCCGGGCAGCAGAGGTTGCAGTGAGTTGAGATCGCACCACTGCACCACAGCCTGTGTGACAGAGTGAGACTCCATCTCAAAAAAAAAAAAAGAAAAAGAAAAAGAAAAAGAAATATTTCATGTTTACAGTAGAAATAGCTTTCTCAGGCTGCTTCCTGTCTATAAAAGTTCGGGCATATAGAGGCCTCCTCATTTCCTACTAGTCAGGGTTCAATCAGGGAAGGAAATTCATAATGAGTACTGTGGAATAAAGGATTTATTATAGGATTTAGACTTGCCACAGCTGTAGGAGGTCTGGATGGTAAGTGAAGGTCTAGAAGAGGAAGCTGGTTGATCAGAGGAGAGTCACAAACTGGGTTTCCTGGAGAAATGAAGCAGGTGGACAGGATGGAGCTTGCTGAGAAAGCAACAAAGTAGACTGTGCAGAGAACCTGCGGGGGATGTCTATTTAAAGTTGTTGAATTTGTGTGGCTTCTGTCTTTTGAGGAACTGCAGGCAAGTGCCTGATGGGTGGCTGGGACCACTCTTGGTTAGCAGAGCTAGCACCTGGAAGAAGACCTGGACACAGAGCAGAGGGGCAGTTGTAAGTAAGTCACCAGGCACCTCTGCGATAGACTTTCACCAAATCTTTGGCCCATTTGCCTTTACTTTAAACATTCATATTTCCTCTCCTTTGCTGCAGACTGGGGGTTCCCATGCCTGTGACATGAGACTTTATTTCTTCTTTCCTTGCCTCTTTGTGGACAGAATTGATTCAAAGCCTCTCACTCTTACTCTCTTAGCTTTATCCTCCTGCACTTTTGCCCTGTGGTCCCAGAGATAAAATTTAGTTAATAGAACTGAATATAATTTAAAATCTGAGCTCTCTTGAATTCATTCATCCCTTTCCTTTCCCTCATCTCTCCCTTTCTTCTTGTCTTTCTGCCTTCTGTCCTTTCTTTATCCAATGCCTACGCATTGACTACATATGGTGTACCTAACCCTGTGCTAGGTACTGGAGAAGATCACAATATGACTAACAGTTGTGTCTTCACTTATGTGTGTCTGCCTACCTTGATCACCCGTCTAAAATTTTGAGGTATTTCTTGTGGGACTTTATGCTGGTGCTGAGGAGGCTCCCAGTTCATTTTCTTGAAAAGTACATAAGACAACAACACTTACTAACAAGCAAAGTAGATATTTCAAAGGCCATTTAAAAGGAACTGTAGTTGAAAGGATACATTAAATCCAGATGAAAGGAGTCCTTTAATGCTGTCTAAAGTCTTGGGCCTTTTGGGGGGCCTAATTTAAAGTCTTTAAAGATTTTTGAGCTGGGGAAGGCTAAGGTAAGAGTTGAAATTTAGGAAAATTTACCAGGCAACAGGAAATGGACATGACTGGAGTTAGGCTTATCGGTTACTAGCTGGGGGCTGAGGAAGGGAGAGCCATCATTGAATCATGTGTTAAATAAACCTTAGAGCTCTGGTGTGCATGACCCAGGGCTGCCCGCAGATATCTCTGAGCTTCCACAGCTGTGGGCATGAGAGGTCCTGGGGATTGTCATGCCATCTTGTTGATGTTAGGGCTTCAAGACTCTAGAGCCAGGGGTTTAAGGCCTGTTGAAAGGCAGTGGCTATGCAAGACTTAGGAGACAATGTCACACAAGACAAATGTACTTGGTCACACAAAGGCAGTAAACTGTTCTCTTGGCTGTGTTCCCTCTGACAAATGAACCATTTCTTGCCACCAGATCAATAGTCACTGAGTTAAAGAACTGTTGGAGATAATTTTTAACTCAGTGGAGCCTATTTTCTATTAATCATATTTATTTTTACATCCATTTATTCACAAGTATTGGACAAAATGTGTGCTGTGAACCCAGGATATGCAGCACATGGATGGTGGTGAAGGTCAGGGTGAGCTGAGAAAGAAGCCAGTGTCCATGCTGGGAAATCCTTCAGGGAGTAGGTCCTGGTAGTGCAGAGGGCCTACATATCAGGCTGAGTCTCCATGTGTCCATGGTAAAATAATAAAAATTAGGACCATTTTGTGAGCTTTTCAGAGAACAAAATATATGAGTCATGTAAAGACTTTTTTTATTTTAAGATGATATCTTTCCTGTTGTTGGTTAGTTTTTCTTTTATCCAATAAAATGATAGTGACTGTAGATGGTAGTCTTTTCTTTACTTTTCTTTCTTTCTTTCCTTCTTTCTTTCTTTTTTTTTCTTTCTCCCTCTCTCCCTCCCTCCTCTCCTCCTCCTCCCTCCCTCCTTCCCTCCCTCCCTTCCTTCCTTCCTTCTTTCCTTCTTCCTTTCCTTCTTTTTTCTTTATCTTTTTCTTTCTTTTAAAATAAAAAATTCCCTTACTTAACAAAATAAAATACTGATGACTTTATGCTAATGCCCTGCCTCCCTCCCTGGCCCATGGCACTAAGGTAGAAATCACTGCTTTGGAAAAGAAAAGGCTGTAAATGGTTTTATCATGTTCAGATGTTTACTGTAGACTTGTAAAAGCAATATCAGTATTCCCATCAAGTTTCTGCATGACAGGAATAAGGAAGGATGTCTAGTATGTTGTTATCAAACATGCTGAATTAGGATCCCAAATCTTCTGAAAAACATTGCCAGTGCCATCAAGAAATGGATTATGAAAATGGCTGACAACACAGAGGAAGGTGGTGGTTCAGGTCTAGGCAGTATGGTTCATATTATGGCTAGACACTAGGTCTAGACCAGGCCAATGTACTTCAGGAACAACACTGACAGATAGATAGAGTCCAGGGAAGAATGTCCAGGATGCTGGAGGCATCATTTTAGAACAGAAAACAGTGAAACACTCTGCTGTTTCACAAGGAATGAGGTGGCATGGGGCAACAAGGAGAGAGTAGCCTAAGGGTGCTCATAAACAATGGTATCCCATTGTACAATGAATACTTTTGAACTTTTTGTGGGACCCACCAGGGGGCAGAACTAAGGATAGTGGATGGAGACTAAAAAATTCCAGTTAGGTTTTATTAGAAAAAAAAATCATGCAGATATTATCATTTTCCCCAAGTGGAATATATTGCTGCTTTGTCCAACTCCTTATTTAATTTCTAGCTCCTCAATGACCAGACCTCATCTTGTCTGCATCTAGCACTGTGCCTGGCTCCTAGTGAGGGACGAGTAAGTGAGTTCACTGCTTTGCTGTTGGTTTGTGTCCAGCATGGCAGTTTCTCCTAAAATTCTTTTTGAGCTCACTCAGTATCATTGATCCACAGGTAAACACTGTCCAGCACTCCCAAATCTTAACCTGTATTTCCTGATGTACATACTTTCTAAAGCTAAAACAGCCCTGTGCCTCAGTTTCTCCATGTTTACCCAAATAAATCCCCATGATTTCATGAGCCTAAAAAAGGTGAGTATGTGGGCATGTAAAAAGGACAGGATGTTTTGTGGCACTGCCCTTTTTGCCACTTGTTGGCATTGACTGGTAAAGATCGAGGGTCAATGGAGTCGAGCAGAAACAGCAGAGAGGCCATAAGGCAGCCCATGAGGGGTCAGAAAAGATTCAGCAGAGGAGCTGTTATTTGTACTGAATTTGCTAAGTGGGTAGAGGGTTGGGGTGGGAGGTGAGAGTGAATAGCATTGGCAGAGCTTGCCTGAAGTGTTAGGAACAAGATGGTTTGTGGAAGCTGAAGAAAGAAGTCAATTTTGAGCACAGATTTTGAAGGAAAGAGGTTAAAGTGATGGAGTCAAGGCTATAGAAATAAACGAGGGATTGGGATGGTCTTCCAGGGCAGAATAAGGGGTGAGTGGCATCCTGGGGGGAACTGCGCTTCTTCTCAGGGTGGTCTCTTCTGTGGACCATGTAGACTTCTAATGCATAATTTTCACATCTTTAAAACCCACATCTACTTAGGTAATCTTAGATAATCCAAGTATGATGTATCCGAGGGGCTACCATACAACTGGTGTGCTGTCTGCCATCTAAGAGATGGAGCATGGCAAATCATGTCAGAAAAAGACCTTTATTTTTCTTTTTGAAACAAATGTTTTCCCTCTTCTCTTTTCTGCCTGTTTCTCTCATTTTCTTGGCAATAGAATCACAAATTTGACAAATGAGCAGGTGAACTGCCTTCAGCCTAACAACAAAGGCAGTTAAAAAAATGTTATTACAGAAGTGAGCTTAGCTTTAGCAAATCCTCCTGCTTTCTAAATCTGTGATATTTCAGGCGAGCTTCCATTGTGGACTGTAAACACTGCAAACCACTGTCTCTTCACCTTGCAAGCCTCTTAAAACTGAGAATCTGTCAGAATCATGTTTTGGTAATTTTTTTAAAGCAAGATTCTCCTCACATCACATGCTCATCAGCAGGTATTATAACTTTACTAGAAATTGACTTCAGAAATTGGGAAAAGGGTGTCCTAGGGCCATCAATGTAAAAGGCTTAAGGACTCCCAAATGGTTTTAATGACTAAATTAGAAGCTGCAGCCTAAGTCCAGTAATAGATTTCTCTCCTTGTCTTTTTCAGTAGAAAGAAACAGAAAAATAATTATTTTTAAAGTCATCAGAGCAAGAAAGGATTGTCCAGAAAGGATGGCAGTGTGGGGATAATGCCAAGCAGAAAATTTGCAGTTCATCTGCGTGATGAACACACCCAGGTAGCCTGGCCCTACCACATGTGCTGCAGTGGAGGACTGCCTGCTCAGACAGGGATGGCGTGGAATCATGAGAAAGCAGACATGAAGATGAGGTCCCTCATCTGTGCCACCCCCACCCATGCCTGAGCCGTGCCCCACACGGGGCTTGTAACACTTTTCATAAGAAAATGACCTCACAAATAAGATGACTCTTCCACTCCTTTACCCATCATGACCATCTAGGTGCTCTGGAGCTCACCCAAGGGGCTCTTCAGCCTTCTCTGAAGGTGATCCTCATGTACTAACACAGTTCCACCAGCTTCCTCAAGTTTTACTCACCAGCTTCCCTATTTTTTGCCTCCTGTCATTTTCTTTCCTTTTCATGTTTTCCCTCCAATAGTGACTCTAAATAATTCCAAATAAATATGACCCTGTAGAGCAAACTGCTCAAGGCAGTGACATGTCCATGGGCACAAGTATTAGTTATTCAACAAGTACTCCTGCTAGGAATTTATCCAATACACGACCAGTATGGCACCAAACGCATTAAAACAGTGCTTTGTTTTATTCTTATAAGAAACCTGGGAGGAAACAAGTTATCATCAATTCGTAGTTGAGGGAATGGAAAGGCTAGATAACATGCCCAAGGTTGCAGCACTGGTGAGTGGCACAGCCAGGTTTGGGAGCCGGTGTGCCTAAGCCATCTCAGTACATCGTCAGCCTTGAATCCTGACAGTGGGCAGGTTGTGATCCACCCCTTGCAGGGATCACAGGCCCAAGTGAGCAAGATGCCCAAGATGCCTCTCTGGTATCCTTTGACGTCAGTCATTCTGACAAGTCTGATTTTCTGGATTTAATTTTGGTGACTCTTGGTGAAAAGAATGAGAGAGTTGCCACCAGAGCTTGCCAGAACTAGAACTAGAGGGGCTTTTTCTAGGGCTCATGCTGCAGTGAACACAGGCTTCAGGTGCACCCAGGGCTGCACCTGCCTCCCAGAAAAGCCACTCATCGTCTGGGTAAACACTCTGAGCTTCAGTTTCCTCAGGGAAATAATGTCTTCCTAAAGCGGTGAGGATTAAATAAAATCATGTATATAAAAAGACTGAGCACAAAACTTGTCACAAACAGTGTATCCAGAAAATATGTCTCTCCCTCATTCCTTTTTCTCAGTAACCTGCAGGCCCCTATAGGGTGCGAAATGCTTTCCTGTGGCATGGCAGGGGAGCTCATGGCCCTCAGAGATGCTTGGCCAGTCATGGCTCACAGGGCAGTTTCCTTCCTGCCAGAGTCTGGCTCTGCGTAGTCATTGCTGGGCATTCACTCTCCCTCTGCCATCATGGAGAGAAACTTGGGGTTTCACTTTCACAAAGGAAAGTGTCCCTGTCATTAATTGGGGGAAGAAGGTGCAACCACAGTGATGCCTAAGCAGATGTGACTTTTTATTCAAAACAAAAGAGTCGGGCAGGCTGAATATCTCCTTCCTGGAGCCTCTACTGAAGACAGAGGATGAAATGGAGGGGATTGCGGTGTTGGGACCAGAAACTTAGGGTGGGGGTGACCTCGGGCAAGTCACTCAACTGTTTTCAGCTCCTTCATTTACTCATCTCCGAGACCCTGATTCGGTGAGAGCTTTGAGAGTTACAGGCGAGAAGTTTGGTACTGGCCTGATTGAAAGGAAAAGGTTAATGAGTGCGGCTCTCTTCTCCCCTTCATTTCCTGTTGGTGCTCTGATTCAGGCCTCTGCAAGGGATTGTGCTCTGGCCTGAAGGATTTGGAAGATTAACAAAGCGAGCCCTGAGTGCGGTTGGATCCCCGCTGTCCGGGTGAGAGATGCTCCTCGCCCGGGGTGCGCGCAGCCTCCTGCACAGAGGAAGCCGGTGAAGGATGAGGCAGCTGCACCTCAGCACCGCTCAGGGTGAGGGCAGGGAGGCAGAAAATAACACTCACCAGGAGCCATGCTTCATTTTCTGCGATACAACTTAGGGGCATCATCTTCAATCAGTGTCTCTCCCAGGAAGAGAAGGAGCCACTTTCTATGTTCACTCAGATTTCGCACAAAAGGAAAGCCTTGATGAGGCTGTCCCTGTGCCTCTACTGTTCCCATTCGCACCGCCCCCACCCACAGGGCCCCTCACCTCCTCCGGATGTGAACAAGGTGCAGCCCCTCGGCTGGGGGAGGCGAACTCTAACCCCAACCCTAGCCCCGTTTCCACCTTGTTTCAGAGGCGCTCGTTTTCTGTCTGGCACCCTGGGGTTTCGCGTGCCTGCCTCCTGCCCCTCATCTAGCCTCTAAGAGGCTCTACAAGTCCCGCCCACCACCGCCAGCACCACTGCAGGCCTTGCTGCTGAGCCCTGCCACTCTTGGGACCTCCGTGATAGCCACTACTCCCCCAGTCCCTCTTTGCCTCACTTTTAAGGCTGAGGAAATTATCTTCCCAGCCGCAGATTTGTAGCCCTGTCTATGATCCCAACGTGGCACCTTGCTAAACTGCCTCACCTTCCTTGACCTGAGAGCCTGTCCATGTTGCTCAGGTCTTTAGATTGCTGCTTACTTTACCCTAGTCCATTATGTGAAGCCCGAGCACAATCTGTGACGTTATCCCATAAGCTGGCTATTTCTCACTGTCCTTGGTCACCTACGTTGCCATAACGGGGCACTGGGTCTGTATGCTCATATCCCGCCCCCTCCCTGTGTACCTCCAGAGTCTGTCTCAGAGCAGCAGCAGCAGCAGCAGGGGGACGCTCCAAACACAAGTGACGGCTGCTCAGGAACTTCTGGTGGCGTGTCCTCTCTCTGGAAGGAGAGGCTTTTGGCACTCCAGCCCCCCAGCCCATGCCATCCCATCTTGCCTCTGCCCATTCTCTGACTTTTTTTTCCTACCCCTTCCCATCATTACTCTTTGCTGTCCTCACACAGGGAAGGCACACCTCTGGAACCCTCTTCTCCCAAAAACCCACATGGTTTTCTTCATTTCCTTTTTTTTTTTTTTTTTTTTTTTGAAGAAATCCTGCTCTGTTGCCCAGGCTGGAGTGCAGTGGGCTCAGTGCAACCTCCACCTCCCGAGTTTAAGCAATTCTCTTGCCTCAGCCTCCTGAGTAGCAGGGACATGCCACTATGCCCAGCTAATTTTTTGTGTTTTCAGTAGAGACAGGATTTCACCATATTGGCCAGGGTGGTCTCAAATTCCTGACCTCAAGAGATCTGCCTGGCCTGGCGCGGTGGCTCACGCCTGTAATCCCAGCACTTTGGAAGGCCGAGGCAGGTGGATCATGAGGTCAGGAGATCAATACCATCCTGGCTAACACAGAGAAACCCCATCTCTACTAAAAATACAAAAATTAGCCGGGTGTGGCGGCATGTGCCTGTAGTCCCAGCTGCTGGGGAGGCTGAGGCAGGAGAATGGCGTGAACCCGGGAGGCGGAGCTTGCAGTGAGCCGAGATTGCGCTCTGCCCTCCAGCCTGGGACACAGAGGGAGACTCCATCTCAAAAAAAAAAAAAAAAGAAAGAGCTCTGCCTGCCTTGGCCTCCCAAAGTGCTGGGATTAGAGGTGTGAGCCATCGCTCCTGGCCTCAAACATCATGTTTTTATTGAGGCCTTCAGAAGTGCTTTTTAAATTTTTCTTTTTGAGATGAAGTCTTATTCTGTGACCAGGATGGAGTGCAGTGGAGCAATCATAGCTCACTGCAACCTTGACCTCCCAGGGTCAAGCAATCCTCCAACATCAGCCTCCCAAGTCACTGGAACTGTAGGCTCATACCATCACGCTTGGCTAATTTTTAAATTTTTTGTAAAGACAGAGTCTGACTAAATTGTCCATGCTGGTCTTGAACTCCTGGCCTCCTGCTTCAGCCTCCCAAAGGGCTAGGATTATAGGCGTGAGCCACCATGCCCAGCCAGGAGTACCTGCTTTTTAGTTACAATCCTTATACCTCCTGCCCTCTGGCATCAATCATTCTTATTCTCCTTCCTTGCTTTATTGTTTTTTTTTTCACAGTACTTAAACCATTTTCCAACATACTATACTAGAAAATTTACTTATTTTTATCTGTATCCTCCTAATTGATTTTAAGCTCCACAAGAAAGAGGGTTTTTATAGGTATCCTAGCACCTTGAACACTTCCTAGCACCTAGTGGGCACTCAATAAATGCACATTGAATAAATGGACTCTAATAACCACAGCCAAGAATGGGTCTCCTTCCATTTTCTTGCAGTTTTATTCCTCATTACACCTTACATGGCCCTGTGACTGTCCCAATAGGCTGCATGTAGCAAGAAGACGATAAAGGCATGACCTCTTTCTTCAGGAGAAAAATCTGTCCAGACTTCTTTTAAAGTCATTATTTATGCCCTAACTCTAACTAGATTTTTTATTACCATAAGCCACTGGCTTTAAGGGACTCTACAGCATGTAGATGGCCTTGTACACACCTGGTTCCTGTACAGGGTGCATGCTCTACTTGCTGACAAGTGGCTATCATGGAGATGAATGATGTCCCTGGTATTATTACACATTGTCAAGAAACTTCATTGGCTTAATCAATCCAGGTAGCCTTTATTCAGAGGGAAGAGGAAAATCAGTCAAATTAGTTATTTGACAAGATGTCAAAGACATAATCAGTTATTTAAAATGAAATTCCCTAACAATTGGGTTGGTTTCATTTAGACACATGCCCTCCTTCTAACAGTCTATAAGGTATTCATATAACTAGTTCTTCAAGCCCTTAGAGAATGAGCCCAACTTACCTCATTTACCTACCCTAAAACCAGAAAGTAATATTTGCAGGCACTCATGGAGGAAAAACTCCTAAACACTTCTCTATGCCAGTATGTGTGAACTTCAACAGTCATAATCAGATAGCGACTTACTTGGGGTTGGGATCGAATGCACTATGCATGCTGTTATGTATTTCTCTTAATAGCCCTACCAGGTAGGTTTTATTAACACATTTTACTGACAAGAAAACTGGAGTGGAGAGGTTTGGCAATCCTCCAAAGTCACTTGATGGGTAGTGTCGGGGCTTAAATTTCAACCAAGTACTGTTTAATTCTAAGCCTATATTCCTTTATTGTTTCAATCTGTAATTCTGGTTCTCATTCGTCCTCTTCTAGGTTAGTTCTGTGGCCAGTTGGATAAGAGTGATTTTTAAAATAGCTAACAGCACAGAAGAAAAAGCAGATTAAACATTCAATTTCTTCCCCTTTGCTTGATGCTTGGAATGTGACTGCTCTCCAGCTATGTACACAAACATTGTGAGGAGGAGGGCCAGCCATGCTTCAGTTAATATTCAAGGTCACCATTACTTATTTAATTCTATATTAAGACTCATCCAATTACTAGAGAGAGAATTCTACTTTAAACTGTCTTAAAGAATAAAGGAAATGTATTTGTTCCCCCCGAAATCCCATGGTACAAAACAACTTCAGCACTAGTGGAATATAGGTGCTCAACTAGGACCTTAAGACTACATCTCTATCTCATGTCTCTATTTTCCTTAATGTCAGTTTTTTGTCACCAACTTCTTCCTCCCCTAGAGGTGGCAAGTTCATCACAATTAGCTATACTTATCTTGCCTGAGAAATCCCAAGAGAAACAGATAATTTCTTTCCCAACATTTCCAGGAAAATCCAGAAGCTTAATTTCACTTGCCTGAGAAATCCCAAGAGAAACAGGTAATTTCTTTCCCAATATTTCCAGGAAAATCCAGGAGGTTAATCTCACTTGCCTGGCTTAGGCCGTGTGTCCATCCCCAAACCCATAAGGCGGCCAAGACAATGAAACAATCTGATTATCCAGACCTAGGTAATGGAAATACATGTACTTAAAGTCCAGGAAAGGGATTCCCAAGACAAATCAGAGTGTCATGGCCAAAAGAATGGTAAATGGATGCTGGAGAGGAAAAACAACAAATGGCCACTAAACTATCTGTGGTTAGTGCATATCCTCTGTGTCTACCAGTTTCCTTATCTGTAAAACTTATTGTGCATCTCACAGCATTTTCGAAGGATCCCATGAGGTAATGTTTGAAATCACATAGCCCAGTGCTTGGTGCTTCGTAAATACATCAAATAGCATATTATTATTTTACATTATAATGGCACAGGCCTCTGGACTGTCTTCTTATCAATTCCTAGATGCAACTTATTTTGCTCATGCCTCTGGCTCCTTATTTAAATAATTCAGAATGTCTCAATCTTTGGAATTTTTGATGACCAGAAGATTCATGAAAAGCTGGAACTTTCAGAAAGGCTGCTACAAAAACTGTTGGCCTCCCTTATATTTCAACAAGGCATGTGCATATATGGTTTGTGTAGACACAGTATGAAGCAGAGGCATACATCTCATTATTATATTTATCTTCTAACATATTGCTATTTGGCCATAATCTCCTTTCCCTAAAGAAAAGGAGGGAGCAGGAGACAATAGTAACACAAAAAACATATTGTGCTTTGATACACATGAAAGATCTGGGGAAGGAAGGGAATAACTTCATCTGTAGAAAATATGTTTTTCTTAAAATCTGGTCCCTTTAGCAATTAACTGGTTGGGAAATATCTTTGGGGGAAAGTCGTATTAAATAAGTGAGGGAAATAAGCTTCTGGAAATAGCTTTTCCCTTCCATTCCTTCAAATCTGTTCTGTAAATATTTCAGGGTAAATGCTGAAAGATGACTTTGCCTCCCTGGTGGCAGATATCGTTGTTTTAGAAAACAGAGTTTATAAGCAAGATTCTTTGGAATGCTTAAAAAAGTCAGCTGATTTTTCACTGATGAAACATAAAAATAACAAAGGAAACAGAGGAACTTGGGGGAGCAGGTGACCATGACAAGGTCTGAATGGTCCTTGTCTTCATTTTAGTTTCAATATTCTTTGTCTGAACATAAACTGTTTTTTTTTCCATTTCAGAATGAGAAGGTGCGTGGCAATCCACATTCACTCCTTGAACCAGTGTTTGTTCTAGAGTCTGGATATATACCCATGAACAAAACAGACAAGGTCCCTGCTATCAAGATCGTATACTGTAGTCACAGAGACAGAAAATCAACAAATAATTAGCAAGAAAAATATTAAGCGAGGATAAATGTCAACCAAAAAGTTGAAATAGATTTATGGAATAGAGTCCATAGATGGAAAAATTGGGCCAGATGGTTGTGCAGGTGAGCAGATGCCCCACAAGATCCTCATTACAAGTTGGTGCACTCCTCCTCCAGCTACTGGAGGATAAGTCTATGGCCAGTGGCTTAAACTGACAGTCTTTTCAGGAGAATTATCCTCAGGTGATAGAAGATACCTGCAGGGCAGCCAATGACTGATTGATGCTGTTTATGAAAGCCTGACCCCTTCCTTCAAGGCAGGCCACCTGTGAGGTGTGATTTATGCTCCAGATCCGCTCACCACCCCCATCCACAGGTCTGTCCAAAGTTAGACATTACCTAAGACCACATCTAAGACCAAATCCTTGCTCTTTTTTCCTCTTCCCCTCCCTGCTTTCCTCATTCCTTTACAGATTTTTCCTAAGTGTACACTCTCAATAAATCATGTCTTCCCAAACCCATCCCTCAGGCAGTTTTTCTAGGAAGTGCAAACCAAGATAGCAGTCAAGGAAGGCCTCTTCTGAGTTGTGATATATAAGCTGGGACATGAGTGGTGACAAGTAACCAGGCACGCAAACATCTGGTGGAAAAAGTCTGACATGCTGAAATAACCAAGATATCATCTTGGATAAAGGGCACTAGAAAGGAGGAAAGTGTGAGAAGAGGAGGTCTGAGAGCTGTAAGACCTGATCCCAGATCTTACAGGCTAAGGATCCTGGATTTTAGTCAAAGTGTGGTGGGACACTGTTAGCAATTTTTGAGCAGTTGTGTGTTCTGACTTATGTTATAAAAGAATTTGCTGGAGAACAGCTGATCCTGGGGTCAAAATGGTAGCAAGGAGATCAGTTAAGAGGCTGTGCAAACACTGAGTTCAAGTTGCACTAGCATCTATTGTGTGTATTTTATCTGCTGGACAGTTTACATATATTTCCTAAGTTCTACTAATAACTTCAAAATGTATAACAGATATTGTCTCAGGAGTTTAGAGATAAAGAAAGAGACACAGTTTGCTTGAATAGTTAATATGAAGGCATACAGCTATTAAGTGGTATATCTGGAATTAAATCAGTCTATCTGGCTCTAAAACCTAAGCTTTTCCTACCATACTGACCTCCTCATCTGATTTCTTTGTGTGCCATTTTCTCTGCAAATAACTCCATCAGTCTGACTTGCCATATTTGGGTTATCAGAGGTGTCAAGGCATTTCTGCCCCACTGGGGATATGAGTCCCTGCCGAATCATCCGTCTGCTGGGCCCCTGAAAGACTGGTTGCTATTATCCAAACGCATCTGTTTGTAATTATGAGGTGCCCTTACAATTCCCCTTTTTGTCAACATAATTACTTTCAATTATATTAACACTCTTCCCTGACCAGCCCAGGGCCCCACTCCCCTGCCAACTGCAAGACATGATTTCCAAAGCCCTCGCCACTGCAGTCCAAGCATATGGACTCTCTTCTCAGCTCCAAGCACAGGAGGGTTCGGATCCAAAAACAGTGTAAATGGAAGCTACTTCTTGCTTTGTCCATGCCACTATGACAGTGCAAGAATTGACTATATTACCTGGAACCATGTTTGGAATGATAACAAAATCAATGACTTTGTCAACTTAGGGCATATTTTAAATGGACACTTAATTTGGAAGTGATTTTCCTGCCATGAAAAGTCATGATAATCTCAGAATTCCTCCTCCCCACATGAGCCAGATAGAAAAAGAGAAGCCAAATTTATTCCCAGTGATCAATTTAGAATTAGGGAAGAAGAGACTTCCTAAAGTTCAAGCAGTGCACCGGTCTAGAGAGTAGCAGATTAGAAACAGCAGTAGCTAGAGCTTTGTACATGGTTGATGAAGATTCTGGATTAAAGTCCAAACTTTCTGAAAGGGCAAGTTGAAAAGTTCTCTGTAGTTTGCATAAAACTGTGAAGTAAACATGAAATTAGTCCAATGTACACTAGAATATGGAAAGAGAAAAGAAAGAGAATTAACATTGGCTTTGTCTCACTCTTGCCAGTCATGGTGTAAAATGTTTTACCTCCATGAATTCATTTGATCCTTATACTAATCCTATGGGGGTGAGTATTATTATTCTGGCTCTCTGGTGGAGGAAATGAATTTAGAAAGTTTAACAATTTGCCTGAGGCTATACACTTAGTAAATGGCACACCCAGGATCTCAGCTCTGGTCTCTGTGCCCTCAAAGGCTACATCATCTTTCCAATCTGCAAAAATAAAAATTGAAAATTGAGTGAACAAGGGAGATATCTGACCAAAGACATCAAGCAGCTCTTTAATTTGGTGTTGAGGGAATGATTAGAGATAATACAAATCCTGAAGTATATTAATTACAGCTTGATGAGAGTATGTATGTATGCACCAAAAATAACCACATATAATTGCCTAGCATTCATTCTATAGTGTATGGTTCAGTTGCTCTAAAATATTCCTCTTTGACCCAGGTAATACTGAAGAACCATTGAAGTCTTTGTTAGCCACTGTGTCTGAGCTGGAGTAACATGTACCAGCAGCCTTGCAGAGCAGGTTACTATTCACCCACATAAGACAGAGGCTAAATAAGTTCCATTTCCAGTGGGGTAAGCCAGAACTTAAACATGTACTGCTATAATGAGAGTCATTAATTGTCCTAATTCTAATTCTAGACCTGTAGAGATCTCCTGAAGTTAAATCCACGTGGAGGGTAGGGCTATTGATAGGAGTCTTTCCAAGATATTTCCCATGACCCACAAGGCGTCTCCCTGCTCTATCCTATATTTCTGTTGGAGTTTCTTTAAGCATTTCTCCTTGTTCTGGCAGGATGTATAAGGATAAGATTCACTTGCAGGCTGACTCAGCAGACCCTCTGCTCAAGGATAAGAAGTTGCTTCCTGAATGGAGTCTTAGCCTCATCTTTGCAATATTCTACTTGAAAAAACTTCTTGGAAGCATGTTGATTTTCGCTGGGGTCCTCCCTAATTCCCCCTGGCCCTGTTAATGTCAACCTGCCTCTATTCAAGAAATCAGACACAGTCTGTGTTTGATGACAAAATGTCTTCATGTCTTTTCTTTTTTCTTTTTCTTTCTTTCTTTCTTTCTTTCTCTCTCTTTCTCTCTTTTTTCTCTTTCTTTCTTTCTTTTTCTTCCTTCCTTCTTTCCTTCCTTCCTTTCTCTCTCTCTCTCTTTCTTTCTTCTCTTCCTTTCTTTTCTTCCTTCCTTTCTTCCTTCCTTCTTTCTTTTTCTGTTTCTCTCTTTCTTGGCTTTTTTGGTTCATCTATTTGGCTCATCCTCTGCAGTTTCTTTTCCTGTCTACCTAGAGCTCAAGCTAGTCTCATACAAACTCTTTTGCAGTGATACACAGCCAGCTACAGTGGATAGAATTTTCCTTTATCCTTTAAGATGTCCTTTGAGAACTGAAAAATGGAACTGCCAATCTTAGCAGGATTCAACGAGAGCTGTATTCAGAAAGAATAAGTGGAAATATGATCAAGTGAGCATTTTCAAATTTCAGCAAAATGCATTTTGCTGAATTGACAAGGCTGAGAAGCCAACTTACAAAAGGAAACCCTCCAACCAAAATAGTGTAGTGATGCTCCCCTGGCTTTGCAGGACCTTTCCCCTGGTCAGCAGGATAGCCCTCTGGCTGGTTTAACTACACAGGATTCTAATAGAATATTTAGGATGTGGCAAACTCTGGGCCAGTCTTCATATATTCTTTTTTTCATGAACATCTAACTGGGTCCCTGTGATACAGACAAAAATAATAACAACAACTATTGATTCCTGAATATCACATCAGGTACTGTGCTAAGTACTTTTCAGTGTATTACCAATAACAACCTTATGAGCTATGCGTTATTAAAATCCTAACATTACTGGTGAGAAAAGAGAGGCTTAAGAGAGATAAGGTGCTCCATGGCCTCTCTGCATGTGGATTTGACATAAGGTCGATATTCTTAGCATTATGCATCTCTCTCCTGCAGGGCTAACTTCAGATTAAAGCCCTAGGCAGGGAGAGAGAGACCTTGCCACACTTGGGCACTGGGAAATAGAGAACAAAATAAATTGAAGGTAAGGGGTGACAGAACCTGTGCCAGACAACATGCAAGGCCATTTATAGATGCTGTATGATCCAATCTACCACAAAAACCCTGGCAGTTTACTTTCATTATTCCTATTCTGCATATAGGGAAATATAGGCTCAGCCTGGGGCTGTTAGTGTTTTCACCAAAGGCATTCATTTATTCATTCATTTACCATATATTCATTGGACATCTAGGAAGTATCATGTTCAGTGCTGAGTACCAAAGTAAATGAAATCAGAGAAGTTATAGCCCAGGAAAGGAGTTAGATACTAATCTAACAGCCACACAAATTGTTATATGAATATAGCTATCCAAAATGCATGCCATGGTACTCTGAGAATGAGCATTTGCCTAATCAAGAGGTCAGAGAAGGCTTCCTAAGGAATTGATAATAGAGTTTTTATCTAAAGGATGTGTAAGTGGTATCTAGCAAAGAGGAGAGGGAAGATTATTTCAGGCAGCAAGTGCCAAATCCCTGTAGGAAGAGGGTGTGTGACCCATGTGAGGAGCCAGAAGAAACTAGAGAGAGTGAAAGGGTGCCCTGTGACCATGGGACCAAGAGGAGCCAAAGAGCCTGAGCAGGACTAAGACTTGGCTGAGCCATGTGAAACCACAGTCAGCAAAAGGCTGTTGGCTCACTGTGCTCAGCCCTTGTTTTGTTTGCTCTGTCATTTTTCACAGGGCTGCAGGATTCTGCAAAGTTGTCTACAATCTACTCTAGAGGTTAAATGAAGGCTGAGGAGTGAGCGCAGTACAGGAAGAGGCTGGCTTAATGGAAGAAGGGAACAAGGTTGGCCTAACCATACTTGGAAGGAAACGTTAGCTGAGGCTAGGTAGAACAAGAGAAGGAAGTGTTCATAGAAGGGAAATGCATGCCAACTGTGGAACAGAAGTCATATTTCCAAGAGCATAAATGTGTATGTACATGGGGTGCAGTGGTGGGGTAGGTTCCTGATTTGATTCCTTTTATTGTTAAGTATGGCAAAATGAGAAGGCCAGAAAATTCCTTTAGGGGCCTGAAGGCTTGGATTGGTCATTTTCACATACCAGGATTTCTCAGAGCCCTACATTGGACAGAGTGCCTTGTGGCCTGAAACCATTAGGTGGGGCCTCTATAGGAGCCTGTTGGGCCTGGCGTATAATTACTTTTCAGCAGGCTGGGCTCATCCCTTGCTGTGTGGGGCCTCTTGTGGTATGGAGAGCAACTGGGCAGGGAACTAGGAGCTGAAATATCGACTCCAACCAGTGGATCAGGACATTACAGCCTGTTTGACCTGCCCTTAGGGCTGAGATCCTACAAGAAAAGGCCATGTAGCACTTAATTTGTGGCATTATATGTACTAGCCTGGCACCAAGGTTTTCTCCAGTCCTTCCAGCTTCAGGATAATCTACTCCATGGAGCCCCATCTCCATTAGACTGGCTTCCTGATACAAAAATCACTACCTCTACAATGCTTTCCAATACTCAAGTTTGGAAAAGTTTGGATTGTGGAGAATTTGGACAGCAAAGCATACCTGTACATGTTGGGATCCCACAGTACTATCTGAATGCCAGTCATCCTGTGATATGATGTTCTTCTAGTCACCTGTGCCTCTGCTGGTGTCTGACCTCATCAGCGAGTTGTCTAGACCTCAGGTGGACCATAGTCACCATTTCTCAGCTGTATTTCCATCTATACCTCTGGTTATCAACAGATACTATTCAACTGCCCACCTGCAGTACTCTGGACACCCGATGCCACCCATCTGTTAATTGTCTGCTCATCGTCTATTTGAATGGCTATTCTGGATACTGGATTCCATCTCAGCCTCTTGCTAGGACCACTTGCCTGCCACCTGTTTGCTCCTCCCTGGAACAGATGGTTAGCTGTTTTTTTTTTTTTTTTGAGATGAAATCTTGCTCTGTCACCCAGGCTGGAGTGCAGTGTCACGATCTTGGCTCACTGCAAGCTCCACCTCCTGGGTTCACACCATTCTCCTGCCTCAGCCTCCCAAGTAGCTGGGACTACGGTCACCCGCCACCATGCCTGGCTAATTTTTTTTGTATTTTTAGTAGAGACGGCATTTCACCATGTTAGCTAGGATGGTCTCAATCTCCTGACCTAGTGATCCGCCCACCTCAGCTTCCCAAAGTGCTGGGATTACAGGTGTTAGCCACTGCGCCCGGCCTAGATGGTTAGCTTTTGTGCCTACCTTTGCATACTTGTGTTGGCTTCTGACCTCAGCAATCATTCTCCGAGTCCTTAAGGCCTGGAACTTTCTCAGTCAGGCCATCCAGACCCTGAGAAAACCTGGCTACATTTCAGCAAGCCAGGCCATTTGCAGAAAGAGACTAGATTAGCCTTGCTACCCTAACCCTTAATCATAATTTATTATTGATAGATTGTAGACTTTCACTAATCCCCACCACATGTCCACAGTGCAATTTGTCCTCTTATCTCACTTACTGCTTTGTTCTCTTGCTCTCCTCAGTTTTCTGATGTCCTAACATCCTTCCTAGTCACTACCACATTGCTCTCACTAGGGGAAGTCCTTGTCTCCTCAAATACAGTCTCAGGCAGGGATTTTCTGCTAAACTGAATGAACCACCTTTGCCAAAAACCACCTCCTTTTACTAGTGACATCCATTGCCTGGGGATGATCATGTTCATTTTCTTCCTCAAGACCAGCTTTCATTTGATTATAGTATTTGGACTGCAGTTTTTATCACTGGGGTCAGTCCCACATCCTCCAGTTAATGGATTCTCAGGAGCTCATCCTGCCGGGAGAAGCAGAGCTTCACAGAAGTTAGGAATTCAGGCTTTGAGCCAAACCGCCTGGGTTCAACTCCTGGCTCTGCTCTTTACAAGCAGAATGTCTTTGAGCAAGTTATTTAATTTTTCTGAGCTTCATTTTTCTCATCTGTTAGTGGAATTAAAAATTGTGTCTCTATTATATTAATAGGATCATTGTGATGATTACAGGTTAGTACATGTATGCATTTGGAAATGCATCAGACAGACAGTGCACTCTGAACCAATGTTAGTTATTATCTCTGCTTTTTATTTCCCACTAGTTTGCTGTAAGTTAGTACTTGGCTGGGTGAGGCTGATATTTCAGACCTACTTTCAGCCCTGGAGTGATTACCCAGATAAATAAGATCACTTAGGATCCTCAGTTGGTCTCCAAATCATAGACCTTGCAGAAATCAGAATGTGGAAAGGGAATAAACTTATATCCATTCATCCATTTATCATTTTATTCATTTAAGAAATATATATTAAGCCTCTGCTCCATGCAGGGCATTGGGCTCAGTGCTTTGCATTTCTTGTTTCCTGTACACAGCTCCTCAGGTTGGGCATTTCCTAAAAGCAGATCTACTCATACATGGAAAACTGGATTCAAATATAATATGGTTTGGATATTATGCTGGAGGTGGGGCCAATGCTGGAGGTGGGGCCTGATGGAAGGTGTTTGAGTCATGGACATGGATCCCTCATAGCTTGGTGCTGTCTTCACTGCAGTGAGTGAGCTCTCATGAGGTCTAGTCATTTGAAAGTGTGTGGCACCTCCCCCTCCATGCTCTCTCTGCTCCTGCTTTTGCCATGTGATGTGCTTGCTCTCCCTTTGCCTTCCACCATGATTGGAAGCACCCTGAGGCCCCCTCAGAAGCAGATGCCATTTTGCTTCCTGGATCGCCTGCAGAATGGTAAGCCAATTAAACCTTTCTACTTATAAATTACCCAGTCTGAGGTATTACTTTATAGCAATGCAAGAATGGCCTAATACAGTATATTATGCCCCAATAAATTATGTTTTGTGAGCTAATAAATTCTCTGTTGCACAGTGTGGTCTAAGCAGGCAGAAGAAACTGAAATGTTCCTCAAATGCCACATGCTCTCTATTTCTGCTAATGTCACCACACTCAGAGATGGATTGGGAGGGATTGTTTAAAACAAATCCTCCACAGAGCCACCCCTACCTCTGGTTCCCAGCCTCCCTGAGGCTCAGGCTTATTTCCCATTCTTTCCTCCCTACAGAACGCTCAGCACCCCCACCCTGCTGTCCTCAGTCACTGCTTGTCTGAAGCCATGCCTTTGTCATTCTCTGCCTCCCCATCTGTCTGACTTATCCATGTCCTTCACCAATCCAGTGCTTGTGATTGTCATAATGCTAAGCAAGCGATCTGGGCAACTGAGGGTAGAATTTTTTTCTTCCTGGAATAAAACATAAAGCCACAGTCCAATATATCTTGGGTACTCTCATCAGATTTGGAAATATGTCCATAATTAAAACTGCCAAATTGAATGCTAGTTCTAAAAATTGGTTTCATTAGTAACGGGAAAGCTATTTTAATGCATCAGATTATAGATAGTTTTGCTGCTTTTAAAAAAGGAAATGAACTTTTTAAAAGAAAGAACAGAATAAGAGGCAAGAACATAACCTATCTCAGGCAATGAGTAAGAAAGTTTCTCAGAAGGTTCTAATGTCTTCCTCTTCAAGCTTTGCTTAAAAAAAAAATTACAAGCTGTCAGATGGTCCACGGTGATAGGAATGCTAAAATGAGTGATTGCGGGGGGGAAGCATGCATGCCTTTAGAAGTTTTCTTTTATTAATTGGCAAAAGTAGATCGATTGCTTGATTGACTGATTATTGAAGGATTAATGGTGCCTGACTTAGGAGGGGTGAGGAACTCTTCCGCATGATCTGCCCGCTGGTATGGGCTGGAAAATGTCCATCTGGTGCTTAAGTAAATATTAATTGAGACCATATCTAAGTGCAGCTCAAAGGCTCAGGGACATAGTGGCTGTCATGAACAGCTTGGGGAGGAGAAAGATGAGTTCTTTTCTAAATGTAGGCTCTGTTACAGGCTCACTGGGAATCAAAGTCCAATTGCTTCAACTCACTTCGTCTTGTTAACTCAGATGGAAAATTGGGTTAGAAGCAGATCACTTACATGGGGATGGCTATGGTTACCCAGGTCAGCTTTTACAGAGCCGTGGAGTCTCTGAGGAACAGATTGTTAAGGCAGATGGATAGACAGGAATGGGGAAGTGGGGCAGGCTCCCTGGGGAGATAGAATCTCTACAAACATCAGAAAGCATTTTGCTGAAAAATCTCTTCTATTTGCTACCATCTTTTCTTGCCAAAAGTCTCTGCCTCCTGCCGGACCCACAGTGAGAATTGCTACCTAAACTTGTGTTGGACCACCGTGGGCTGTAGGGAATGGAATGGGTGTTTTGGGAATGAGCAGAGCTCTTGGGATAAATGCCACTTAATATATGCCTGGCCAATGAAAGCAAAAGGAAGAACCATACTTCATCCTCCCTCTGTCTCACAACTCAGCTCCGGTTTGACGCTTTGGTCCCCTGGCTGTTGCTGAGTGCTCTGGGCGCTCACATTACCTTTTGCTGCACAGTGACTTTGCTCCACAGATCTCAGCCTGAGGAGCAATTGTGGGCTGTGGCTGTTACTCAGTAGCTTTCCTTCCCCCTCACCGTCCTTTCTGTCCAAATCTGTTCTGCCAGCCCAAGTCCTACAGGAGGGCCATCAAAACTTCTTGTAGGAAGCAAATGCACTGCTGGATATTTTCCTAAGGTAAATTTATTGAACCATTTCCAGGAAGATAGTGATGGAGGAGACCAAGTTAGGTGTGCTCACTCTCCGCACCCCCAGTCAACTGTAGCCTCTGAAAAGAAAGATAAATTGGTGTTCTCCACTCACCATAAAAAATGAAAATTTTCTGCTGGGTACCCAGAACTGGACAGGAAACCATTGATCTTCCTGAATAAACATCTTTCCATAAATCTTTATCTCTTCCAAAGATAATTGGGAGAACAGTGGCTTCTGAATTTACTCTCTTCCGGCAGTTACCTCCCTTTCATTCTTCTGGGTATATTTGTTTTCAAAGCCAGAATGTACTACTAGGCTCCATCCATCAAGGGAAAGAAAGCCTGAATGATTTCCTATTTCACCTCTAATGTGTCAAGCTTGAGAATTCTCTTAATTCACGAGTTTTGCAAGGTGCCTGGCATTTTCCATCACAGGTGGGCCTGTCATATTGCCTCACTCCTCCTGAAGGCTGTGTCCATACTGCTAATCCTATTGCTCTGCTTAGATTTAGGACATCCACTCTTTCTCCTCTTTTCTTCACTTACTCATTTATTTATTTCACATGTAATCCATCATATGTCCATCATCGTATGGGGAAATCCTATTGTTAAAATAGATCTGATGACCTGCGTGCCTGAAGATATCTCCCCAAATGAAAGTCCCTGGATCCTGGCTTCCTCGTCATTGCTCTCTGAGGTGTGCAGCTAAAGCAAAGGAAATCAGTTTGGTAGCCACATTAATAACCAAACATGTTATTTTTCAGTCTTAAAAATCATTTGAAACATTCAAATCTTAATCTTAGTATTTTTGATTTTCTGAATGTTTAATTAGCTGTGTAGCTAGAACATTAATGTATTAAAACCCATATTCGTTTTTCTTAAATCTGGGTTATTATAATGTATAACTTTTAATAAAACCTTCTAACTATAGTAATGCAAATCATAGAAGCTTTGAGAGGCCCATGAATCAAAGTTACTACCTCAAAGCTGTGAAAGTTACTTGGTGTTTGCCCAACACAACCCTTAAATAGAAGAGTATGTTTTTAAACACACTGAGCCTCTGCAAGGGGCCCACCCACATGATTAAGATGCCCAGCCTCTGTGTTGCACTGTTATATGCAGATATAATGAAAATTATTTTTAATGTGGCAGAAACAAATACAGACTCTCAAAAAAAGATTTCACCAAGACTGATTGAGTTTTAAGGTCACCAATATAATGCAAATGGTTCTTTTGTGTAAGTGTATAAAACGCAAAAGGTGATGGCTTCTATGAACAGAGGAACATGTCAGATATCACTATGAAGGTTGTTTGAAGAAATTTGGAAATAGTAAATTGAGAATGATGAACCAAGTTTTCTTTACAGTGGAGAAGCCTGGAAAATCCATGTTTGCCAAGTGACAGATGTAAACTTCACCAACAAGAAAATAAATAGGCACTATGTGCCTCCTGGTGGGATTTTCTGAGTAGGGCAGATAATCACTTCTACAGTAGTGCTACTAGAAATGCATTGCCTGGGTGTAATCATGAGACAAATACAAATTGAGGAATAGTCTATAAAAACAAAAACACATAGTTCGACTCTTCAAAAGTGTCAAAATCATGAAAGAGAAAGAAAAGAGGAGAAACTGTTCCCAATTAGAGGAGACTGCATGAAAGGCATGGCCCTGAGTTACAGCCTGGATTAGTAAAAGAAAAGATACAGATTCGATAAAGATATAGGTAAGATTATCTACCTACCAAGCTATCATACATGTATTAGTTTGTTCTCACACTGCTATAACTGCCCAAGACTGGGTAATTTATAAAGAAAAGAGGCGTAATTGACTCACAGTTCCACATGGCTGGGGGAAGCCTCAGGAAACTTACAATCAGGGCAGAAGAGGAAGCAAACATGTCATTCTTAACATGATGCAGGAAGGAGAAGTGCTGAACAAAGGGGGAAAACCCACTTATAAAACCATCAGACCTTGAGAATTCACTCACTATCACAAGAATAGCAGCATGGGGGTAACTGCCCCCATGATTCAATTACCTTTCACCAGGTCCTTACCATGACATGAGGGGATCATGGGAACTACAATTCAAGATGAGATTTGGATGGGGACATGGCCAAACCATATCAATCTACTTATCCATCTATTTATCTACATTTTTCCCTCTATACCTCTGTGTATATGTGTGCGTGTGTGTGTAATCTCTTAAGAAGGACATTTTCTGCATTATTATCATCATGCTGTTATCAATATTATGAAATTTGCTGATTTATTTAATATCAGCATTTATTTTAGACACAGGAGGTACATGTTTAGAATTGTCACATGGGTATATTGGACCTAGGTAGTGTGCCTAGTACCCAATAGGTAGTCTATCAACCCACACTCCTTGCGCAGTAGTCAGCAGTGTCTGTTGTTCCCATGTTTATGTCCATGGGTGCTCAATGATTAGCTCCCACTTATAAGTGAAACATGTGGTAATTGGTTTTCTGCTCCTTCATTAATTTATTTAGGGTTATGGCCTCCAGCTCCATCCATGTTACTGTAAAGGACATGATTTTATTCTTGCTTATGGCTGCATAGTATTCTATGGTATATATGTACCACATTTTTTTTATCTAATCCACCATTGATAGGCACCTAGGTTGATTCCATGTCTTTGCTATTGTGAATAGAGCTGTGATGAACATACGTGTGCATGTGACTTTTTGGTTTAATGATTTACTTTCTTTTGGATATATACCCAGTAATGGGATTGCTGGGTCCAATGGTAGCTCTGTTTAAGCTCTTTGAGAAATCTCCAAACGGGTTTCCACAGTGGTTGGACTGATTTACATTCCTACAGTGTATAAGAGTTCCCTTTTCTCTGCAACCTTGCCAGCATCTATTGTTTTGACTTTTTAATAATAGTTATTCTGATTGGTGTGAGATGGTATCTCATTTTGCATTTCTCTGATGATTAGTGAAGAGCATTTTTTTTTCAGATATTTGTTAGCAACTTGTCTGTCTTCTTTTGAAAAGTGTCTGTTCATGTCTTTTGCCCACTTTGTAATGAGGTCATTTTTCACTTGTTGATTTACTTCAGTTTCTCTTAGATTCTGGATATTAGACCTTTATCAGATGTATAGTTTGTGAATATATTCCCCCATTGTGTAGGCTGTCTGTTTATTCTGTTGATGGTTTCTTTTGCTGTGCAAAACTCTTGTCTCACTTGTCAATTTTTTTTTTTTTGTTTCAGTTGCTTTTGGGAGCTTGGTCATAAATTCTTTGCTAAGCCAATGTTGAGAAGTGAATTTCCTGAATTTTCTTCCAGGATTTTTATAGTTTGAGGTCTCATATTTAAATCTTTAATCCATCTTGCGTTAATTTTTGTATATGGTGAAAGGTTAGCATCTTGTTTCATTCTTCTGCATAATGGCTAGCCAGGTATCTTAACACCATTTATTGAATAGGGAGTATTTTCTCCATCTCTTGTTTTTATTGGCCTTGTCAAAGATCAGATTGTTGTTGGTGTACAGCTTTATTTCTGAATATTCTATGCTGTTCCATTGGTCTATTTGTCTGTTTTTGTACCAGTACTGTGCTGTTTGGTTACTATAGCCTTATAGTATAGTTTGAAATCAGGTAGTATGATGCCTCTGGCTTTGTTTTTTTCACTTAGGATTTATTTGGCTATTTGTCCTCTGTTTTGGTTCCACATGAATTTTAAAATAGTTTTTTTCTAATTATGTGAAGAATGTTGTCGGTAGTTTGACAGTGATAGCTTTGAATCTGTAAATTGCTTTGGCAGTAGGGCCATTTTAATATTGATTCTTCCAATTAATGAGCATTGGATGTTATTTTATTTATTTGTGTCATCTCAGATTTCTTTTAGCAGTGCTTTGTAACTCTCATTGTAGAGATCTTTCACCTCCATGGTTAGTTGTATTCCTAGATATTTCATTTTGTTTGTAGCTACTGTAAATGGGATTGTGTTCTTGATTTTGCTCTCAGCCTGAATGTTATTGGTGTATAGAAATGTTACTGATTTTTGTACATTGATTTTTTTTATCCTGCAACCTTACTATAATAAAATTGTTTAACAGTTCCCGTAGCCTTTTGACAGAGTCTTAAGAATTTTCTAAGTGTAGAATCACATTATCACCAAAGAGAGATAGTTTGACTCCTTCTTTTCCTAGTTGGATGCTGTATTAGTCCGTTTTCACGCTGCTGATAAAGACATACTGAAGACTGGGAAGAAAAAGAGGTTTAATTGGACTTACAGTTCCATATAGCTGGGGAGGCCTCAGAATCATAGGGGAAGATAAAAGGCACTTCTTACATGGTGGGAGCAAGCGAAAAATGAGGAAGAAGCAAAAGCAGAAACACCTGATAAACCCAGCAGATTTCATGAGACTTATTCACTGTCACGAGAAAAGGATGGGAAGGACTGCCCCCCACGATTCAATTATCTTCCCCTGGGTCCCTCCGACACCACGAGGGAATTCTTGGAAATACAAATCAAGTTGAGATTTGGGTGGGGACACAGCCAAACCATATCATTCCACCCCGCCCCCTCCAAGTCTCATGTCCTCACATTTCAAAACCAATCATGCCTTCCCAACAGTCCCCCAAAGTCTTAACTTATTTCAACATTAACCTAAGGTCCACAGACCAAATTCTCATCTGAGACAAGGCAAGTCCCGTCCACCTATGAGCCTGTAAAATCAAAAGCAAGCTAGTTACTTTCTAGATACAAGGAGGTACAGGTATTGAGTAAATACAGCCATTCCAAATGGGAGAAACTGGCCAAAGCAAAGGGGTTACAGGGCCCATGCAAGTCAAAAATCCCGCAGGGCAGTCAAAATTTAAAGCTCCAAAATGATCTCTTTTGACTCCAGGTCTCATATCCAGGTCATGCTGATGCAAGAGGTGGGTTCCCATGGTCTTGGGCAGCTCTGCCTCATGGCTTTGCAGGGTACAGCCTCCCTCCTGGCTGCTTCCATGGGCTGGCATTGAGTATCTGTGGCTTTTCCAGGTGCAGGTGCAAGCTGGAGTCTGGAGCACAGTGGCCCTCTTTTCACAGCTCCACTAGGCAGTGCTCCAGTAGGGACTCTGTGTGGGGGCTCTGACCCCACATTTTCCTTCCACACTGCCTGAGAAGAGGTTCTCCATGAGAGCATCGCGCCCGCAGCAAACTTCTGCCTGGGCATCCAAGCGTTTCCATACATCTTCTGAAATCTAGGCAGAGGTTCCCAAACCTCAATTCTTTTTTTTTTCCTTTCTTTTTTTTTAATTTTATGTGCAGCAAACCTCAATTCTTGACTTCTGTGCACCCACAGGCTCAACACCACGTGACAGCTGCCAAGGTTTGGGAATTACACCCCCTGAAGCCACAGCCTGAGCTCTATATTGGCCCCTTTCAGCCACAGCTGGAGTGGCTGCGACACAGGGCACCAAGTCCCTAGGTTTGCACACAGCACAGGGACCCTGGGCTCAGCCCACGAAACCACATTTTCCTCCTGGGTCTTTGGGACTGTGATGGGAGGGGCTGCCGTGAAGTTCTCTGACATGGCCTGGAGACATTTTTCCCATGATCTTGGGGATTAACATTAGTCTCCTTGCTACTTATGCAAATTTCTGTGGCTGGCTTGAATTTCTCCTCAAAACATGGGTTTTTCTTTTCTACTGCATCGTCAGGTTGCAAATTTTCTAAGCTTTTATGCTCTGTTTCTCTTTTAACATGGAATGCTTTTAACAGCACCCAAGTGATATTTTGAATGTTTTTCTGCTCAGAAATGTCTTCCGCCAGATACCTAAATCAACTCTCTCAAGTTTAAAGTTCCACAAATCTCTAAGCCAGGGCAAAATGCCGCTAGTCTCTTTGCTAAAACATAACAAGAGTCACCTTTGCTCCAGTTCTCAACAAGTTTCTCATCTCCATCTGAGACCACCTCAGCCTGGACTTTATTGTTCATATCACTATAAGCATTTTTGTCAAAGCCATTTAACAAGTCTCTAGGAGCTTCCAAATTTTCCCACATTTTTCTGTCTTCTTCTGAGCCCTCCAAATCGTTCCAACCTCTGCCTGCTACCCAGTTCCAAAGTAGCGTTCACATTTTTGGATATCTTTTCACCAATGCCCCACTCTACTGGTAGCAATTGACTGTATTAGTCAGTTTTCATGCTGCTGATAAAGACATACCTGAGACTGGGAAGAAAAAGATATTTAATTGGCCTTATAGTTCCACATGGCAGGGGAGGCCTCAGAATCATGGTGGGAGGTGAAAGGTACTTCTTACATGTCAGTGGCAAGAGAAATGAGGAAGAAGCAAAAGCAGAAACCCCTGATAAACCCATGAGGTCTTCTGAGACCTATTCACTATCACAAGAATAGCATAGGAAAGACCAGCCTCCATGATTCAATTACCTCCACCTGAGTCTCTCCCACAACATGTGGGAACTCTGGGAGATACAATTCAAGTTGAGATTTGGGTGAGGACACAGCCAAACTATATCAGATGCCTTTTATTTCTTTCTCTTTTATGATTGCTCTGGTTGGGATTTCCAGTACTATGTTGAAAAGGAGTGGTAAGAGTGGGCATCCATGCATTATTCTCATTCTCAAGGGGAGTGGTTTCAGCTTTTGCCCATTCAATATGATGTTGGCTGTGGACTTTTCACAGATGGCACTTATTATTTTGAGGTATGTTGGATTTTATCAAGAGCTTTTCCTGAATCTACTGAGATGAACGTATTGTTTTTGCTTTTAATTCTCTTTATGTAGTGAATCACATTTATTAATTTGTGTATGTTGAACCAATCTTGCACCCCAGGAATAAAGCCTGCTTGATCATGGTGAATTAACTTTTTGATGTGCTGCTGGGTTTGATTTGATAGCAGTTTGTTGAGGACTTTTGTGTGTATGTTCACTGGGGATATTAGCCTGAAGTTTTCTTTCTTTGTTATGTCTCTCTGCCTGATTTTGGTATTAGGTTGATACTGGCTTCATAGAATGAGTTAGGGAGGAGATCCTCCTTCTCATTTTTTTTTTTTTTTTTGGAATGGCTTCATCAGGAGCCATTCCAAAACTGACTAATACAGTCAATTGGTACCAGTAGAGTGGGAGATATCTGTGAATTGGTATCAATTCATCTTTGTATGACTGGTAAAATTTGGCTATGAATCCACCTGGTCCAAAGCTTTATTTGGTTGGTAGAATTTTTAAATTACTGATTCAACTTCAGAGCTTGATATTGGTTTTTTCAGAGTTTCAGTCTCTTCCTGATTCAATCTTGGGAGACTGTGTGTTTCCATTTCCTCTAGATTTACCAATTTGTGTGCATAGGGTTGTTCATAGAATTCTTGGAGGACCTTTTGTATTTCCGTGGGATCAGTTGTAATATTATCTTTGTCATTGCTAATTGTATTTATTTGGGTCTTCTCTTTTTTTTTCTTTGCTGATTTAGCTAGAGGGTCTATCAATCTTATTTATTTTTTTGAAGAATCAACTATTGGTTTCATTGATATTTATATAGATTTTTGCATCTCAATTTCATTAAGTTCTTCTCTAATTTTAGTTATTTCTCTTCTTCTGCTAGTTTTTGGAGTTGGCTTGTTCTTTTTTTCCTTTCCTAGTTACGTTGGGTAAAAAGTTAGATTGTTAATTTGAGATCTTCCTAACTTCTTGATGAAAGCATTTAGGGCTATAAACTTTCCACTTAACCGTACTTTGGCTGCATCTCAGAGATTTTGGTAAGTTGTGTCCCTATTTTTATTAATTTCAAATATTTTTTATTTTTGCCTTAATTTAATGTTCACTTTGGAGTTATTCAGGAGAAACTTGTGAATTTGCATGTATTTCTGTAGTTTTGAGGCATTGTCTTGACATTGATTTCTATTTTTATTGCACTGTGGTCCAAGAGCATGCTTGGTATAATTTTTTAAATTTATTGATACTTGCTTTATGACTGAATATGTAATTGAACCTAGAATACGTTCAGTGTGTAGATGAGAAGAGTGTATATTCTGTGAGTGTTGGGTGGAGTGTTCTCTGGATGTCTATTAGATCCAATTGGTGAAATGTCAGGTTTAAGTCCAGAGTTTGTTAGTTTTCTGCCTTTAACCATCTACCTAATTCTGTCAATGGGGTGCTTAAGTCTCCTACTCTTATTATGTGGTTATCTAAGTCTTTTCACAGGCCAAAAATAACTTGCTTTATGAATCTGGATGCTCCAATTTGGGTGCAATATATATTTAGGTTAGTTAAGGTTTCTTGTTGGATTGTACCCTTTATCATTATATAATGCCCTTCTTTGTCTTTCTTAATTTTTACTGGTTTAAAGTCTGTTTTATCTGACAAAAGAATAGCAACTCCTGTTCTTTAATGTTTTCTGTTTGCACAGTAGATCTCTCTCCATTCTTCCTTTTGAGTCTGTGGGTTTTATTACATGTGAGTTGGGTTTCTTTAAGACAATAAATGATTGGGTCTTGTATTTTTATTCAGCCTACCACTCTGTCTTTTAAGTGGGGCATTTCGTTCATTTACATTCAAAGTTAGTATGGATAAGTATGTTTTTGATTTTGTCTTCATGTTGTTAGCTGGTTGTTATATAGACTTGATTGCATAGTTGCTTTATAGTCCCTGTGGGCTATGAGCTTAGGTGTGACTTCATGATAGCAGGTGTCATTCTTTTGATTTCATGTTTAGCCACTTCCTTAAGGACCTCTTGTAAGGCTGGTCTAGTTGAAATGTACTCCCTCAACATTTGCTTGTCAAAAAAAGATTTTATTTCTCCTTCACTTATGAAGCTAAGTTTGGCAAAATATAAAATTCTTGGTTGGAATTTCTTTTCTTTAAGGACACTGAAAATAGGCTCCCAATCTCTTCTGGCTTATAAGATTTCTGCAGAGAGAGCTGCTGAGATATCTGCTGCTAGCCTGATTGTGTTCTCTCTGTACGTGACTTAACCCTTTTCTCTAGTTCTCTTTATGATTTTTTCTTTTGAATTGATCTTGGTGAATCTGATGACTGTGTGCCTTGGGGATGGTCATCTGGTATAGTATCTAGCTAGGATTTTCTGTATTTGTTGGATTTGCATGCCAACATCTCTAGAGAGATTAGAAAATTTTTTGTGTACTATATCTTCAAATATATTTTCCAAGTTGCTCATTATTTCTCTATCTCTCGCAGGAATGCCAATGAGTCATAGATTTGGTCTCTTTACATAAGTCTGCATTTCTTGGAGTTTTCTTTCATTGTTATTAATTCTTTTTTCTTTATTTTTGTCTGACTGAGTTGATGCAAAGAACAAGTACTCGAGCTCTGAGATTATTTCCTCCACTTGGTTTATTCTGTTACTAATACTTATGATTGTATTATGAAAATCTTGTAGGGATTTTTTCATCTCTACAAGTCCAATTTCGTTCTTTCTTAACATTTCTTCTTTCAGCTATTTCATCTTTCAGCTCCTGGATCATTTCACTGGATTCTTTTGATTCCTTGGATTGGGTTTCAATTTTCTCCTGAATCTCAATGAATTTTTTTGCAATTCACATTTTGAATTCTATGTCTGTCATTTCAGTCATTTCAGACTAATAAAGAACCATTGCTTTGGAGCTCGTGTGATCATTTAGAGGTAAGGGGACACGCTGGCTTTTTGAATTGCCAGAGTTCTCGTGCTGATTCTTTCGCATCTGGAAGGGTTGATATTCCTTTAATTATGATGTAATTTGAGTATAGTCAATTGGCTTCACTTCTGGATGCTTTCAAAGGGCTATGGCTCTGTACAGAATCTTTATGTGTAGGTGAATTGTTGCACTTGGTTTCATGGGTGTGTATTATTAATGGGATAAATTTTTGGTACTATAGTTTGGGCTCTGATAGAGTAAATGGTAATTAAGGGTACCATTTACTGGTATATTAACCTGTAGATAGGTTAATACACAGCCACGGGGCTATTTTGTACTTCCTTGTGTTTGCAGGCATGCTCTGCAGTGGATGGGGAAAGAGAGATGGCCCCTTCATCCAGGTCTGCTCCTCCTATCACTGCCACTGCACTCACATTTTTTTTGGTAAGGTGTTTTGGGCTGCAGGAACCCCTTGGGCAGAAGCTGTGGCAAGGAGATATACCACACCTTCTCTGAACAGGTCCTGTGGAGGGAGGCACATCCTGCTCCTGCCCTGGACTAGGGACCCATGCATTTCATCCCTCTAAGTGCTCTGAGAATGGAGGCTCCTCCCCCACTTGATTGACAGCCACAGATCTCAACTCTACACTTCCAAGCTGTACACTGCTGCCCTCAGGGCTCCCGGACATTCCATTGCTCAAGTTTAGGTTCTGGCTATGCTGGGGGATTTAATGTGCTCCTGGGTCACTGGGAAAATACCTAGATGCAACAACACACTCAGGCTTGACTGCAGGGGCTGTGCTGTGCACCCATTTCTACAGGGTGGCTTGGTATGGACCCTGGGAGGAGCCAGTGGGCAGGAGGGCTTGCAGAACAGATGCTCCTATGGGAAGCTGACCTTGCTCTTTCCTGGCTCAGAGGTCAGCTGAGGCCCACACCCCCTGGAGGGGAATGGGAATCCCTGGGGATTGGGTATCTATGGCCTCTTTCCTCTGGAGCTGTCCAGCACACAAAAGATATTGGTTTCCATGCCATTCAAAGGCCTGTCTCTGCCTGCTCCTTGGGGAGATCCTTTTACCAGGTCACACATCTATGGGAGATTCAGGGTCCTCTGTAGCTAGGGTCTCTTACGTCTGCAGTGAGAATGTGCCACCCCTCAATTCCCTCACTCTCCCCTTTCCCAGGAGCCCTTAGGGGCCAGGAACTAGCCCTGGCTTTCAGGCACCCTGCACAGGATTCTCGGCTTCTTCTCTCTTCATCCTGGGCTTCAGCTTTGCGTCTCTATCCACTCTCAGTGTTTTATCTCCAAACACCTGCCCAAATTATGATAGGTTACTTGATTATTTGGTCTCTCTTAGTGGAAGTGACACTTCCTGGCTGCATCTAATTGGCCATCTTATCCCCTCACTCCAATACTAGGAAATGTAACACTGATAAAGCAAAAACCATTATCTAATCCTCTGTCCATTTTGAATTTTGTCACTTGTGCCAATAATGCTCTTTAAAGCAAGGGTCTACAAACTATGGCTCACCCACCATCTGTTTTCAAATAAGGTTTTATTGGAACAAAACCAAACCCATTTGTTTACGTGCTGTCTATGGCTGCTTTCACACTATAATCACAGAGTTGAAAAGTTGCAACATAGACCATATGGTCCATACAGCCTAAAATATTTACTATCTGGCTCTTCACAGAACTGGTTTGCCAACCTCTGCCTTAGAGTTCTTTTATTCCATCTCCATTCAGAGTTATGCTTTGCACTTAATTGTCTGGTCCTTTAAATCTCCTTTAATCTGGATTAGTTTCTCATATTTTCTTTGTGTTTTTTATCCTTGACATATTTGAAGAGTATAGACCAATTATTTTGTAGAATTTCACTCAACTTGGTTTTTCTGATGTTTCCTCATGATTAGATTCAGGTTATGCATTTTTGGCAGGATATCATCAAAGTGATGTAGCATCTTTCATAGTATATCATATCAAGAGGCATGTGATACAGTTTTGTCCCAATAGTGATAATGCTAGCTTCAATCAGTTGGCTACGGTGGTGCCTATTAGAAAAAAAGATTTTATTTTTTGCTAAGAGACATTATTGGAAAAATTAGCAACATTCAGACATTGGCTGTATATTAGGTAAGAATAATTTATTAATATTGAATTTCCACTATTTGATAATTGCACTGTGGTTATATAAAATAACGTCTTTATTCTTGAGAAACTTGTGCAAATAATTTAGGAATTAAAGGTCATTATAATTATCTCTTATTATTAAATGATTCACACACACACACAGCAAATGTAAAAATACTATTTGGTCAATCGAAGAAAAGAGTATGTGTATGTCCATTTTACTATTCTTAAAGCTTTTGTATAGACTTAATTTTTTAAATATCAGGTTAAAATAATAATGCCATTGATATAGGAGTCAAGAAGAAATCACTTAGGCAGATAGCAAGGGAGTCCTCATTAAGGCTTTTCTTTTTAATGAAAAGCAGCCCCACATCATTTTCTAACAAAGCGCAGCCTGTGAAGTTCAGCTGCAGACATAGACAAGCAAGCTGGGAGCTTGCACGGGTGAATGCAGGCAGGAACTAAGGACTAGACATGTTCAAAATGGTGGTTCCATTATGTAAACCTCATAACTGATCCAACCAATCTATGAGCCCTATTTAAATTAGACACTGCCTCCTCAAAGTGGACTATAAAATTCGGCAAATTCGTCGCCAGCCGGTATTTTCCACTGGGAGACAGGCCCCTTCCTCTATAGAGGAAGCTGTTTTCTCCTTCTCTTCTCTTCTATCTGTTAAACCTCAGCTCCTAAACTCCTCACATATGTCCGTGTCCTAAATTTTTCTGGCGCACAACAACAAACCCCAGGGATATACCCTAGACAACATAGCTGCTTCAATATTGTATCATCTGGTACACAAGAGAAAATAGAGTGGGCAGAAGGAAGGTAAAATAAGTGAGGTTGAGCATGGAGACCATCATTCCCTTGGTGCTGCAAGGGGTATTTGTAGTGACTGTATTATATAACAAGGGAGTTTCTAAAGGGAAAAACCCAGGCCATTTTTACATTCCCAGACCATGACATTTACCCACATACTGGATCAAATTGATTTTTATTTAATTGGATGAAATAACTTAACAAAGTTATTAATTTACCTATGAAAGCTACTACTTCCAAAGCAGTTGAAAAAAAAATCAAGAATGAAAAGAAAAAGAAAAATACAAGGAATTACAAGAGAATTGAAGTAAATCAAAACATTTAAGCTATAAAAATAACGTAAATTATTAAAGGTGATGTCTCACACATGTTCAAAACACAAACGCAAATTAGAATAAAAGCTATTTGCAGACAGGCTTGAAACAGAAAATTCAGAGGGAAGAGCAGTAGTAGATCAGGCAAATGGAATGCAGAAAGCAGATGCAGCAGGATTAACCTCAGACAAACGAGAATGTATGGGCAAAGGTCTACACACATACTGAGTGTACTTCATATTTTAACGGAATAATTCACAACAGAGCTACAACATTTATGAACTGAATGATAAATCACTGAATAATATTTTAAAAACTGTTAGAAGATGAAAGGGAAATTGATAATAACATAATTATAGTGACAGTCCAAAACAAATTTCTGTCTTTGACACATTGAGAACAATTTCTTTAAATTATATGGAGGGCTTCCTTAATTAATGTTTCATTAATACATGTATATCAAATATACACTTATGGAAAAGACATTTTTGATGCCAACAGTATATTTACACAGGTAAATCATAACCAATACTAAAAAAGAATCTCACTAACTCAGGAGTAGAAATTCTGTCAAAATTGACAAATTATAATGCAAACAAACCAAATACTTAATACTAAATAACACATTTTGATAAAATAACCACTTAATAATTATAAGTATAAAGATGATTAACATATTTAAAACTAAATAAGAGAAAATTCACCAAAAGTCTCCAAACATTTTTTAACTCTTGATTAAAGCAGAGAACAAAGTTATCTTTAAATATTTTTTTCAAAGTTAGTGTCAAGCTAGCACTATAGCTAAAAAATTATCTCACACAAAGCTATATTCAAGAAATTCACATGCTTAATTATTTAGTATTATTAAATAAGAAGAAACTAATGAAACAAATTTTTAATTCTAGAAACAAGAATGTAACAACAAAAACTTCCTAGAAAAACGTAGGAAACATAACGAAAATAAGGACAAGACTTAGTGAATTAGAATAAGATGAAACAAAACTGAGCATTCTGATACCTGATTCTTAGAAAAGAACAATAATACGTATATGTCTCTAGTAGTAGTAAAAATGACAAAAATAAAAACCCCAAAATATATAACATTATATATGTAAAATAGGATATACCCACAGATGTAAGAATAAGTGAAACAATTCCAATGGAACTACAGAATTGAATATGTCATTTCAAGCTTGATAACATACAATTGTTGGTGCATGAAAAATTTTCTAAAAAAATACAAATTACCAAGATCTATTTTTAAAAAAACTTAGAAGAGCAAAAAGATTATTAGCTGTGATGGGAAATGATAAAAATTGTCAAAGAACCACCTCAAAAATAAGTGTTCAAGCTAGATTGTTCTTTGAAAGAATTTTATCCAATGCTATTTGAGCTATCAAAGAATAAGAGGCTAATGCAAACTTCAATGAACTATATGAAACTAGCATCAAACTGATGCAAAACTTTGGGACCATTAAGCTATAAAACATATAATAACCAATATAGAAAACTATAATAACAAGTAATAAAGGGAAGCCCAGATATTCAACAAGGTTTCTAGATAATATATATGATAGAAATCTTTTTTAATCACAAGATGAAAAGATTGCCTGTTTTTAAAATTAAGCAATTGGTAATCACTGGAGAAAAATGTAATTTAAGTGCTCACTCTACTATATACACAATAATTTTGGAATTACAGTTAAGTGATAAAAGCATGAACAAAATTAAATAATGGCAAATATATGTTAATTATTAGCTTCTGGAAACCTTCTAAGAATGGCATCAAAAGCAGTATCCATTAAGAAAAAAGTTAATAGATTTTACAAAACAAAATTGAAAAGTTATATAGGAAAAAATTTACTAGAAATTTATTGTAGAAGCAGAAAACTGAGGACAATACATAAGACATACAGAATCTGTCTTTGATATGGCTTAGGTTTGTGTCCCTCCCCATATCTCATGTTCAATTATAATCCCCAGTGTTGAAGGGGGGCCTGGTGGGAGGTGATTGCATCATAGGGACAATCCCCGTTGCTGTTCTGGGGATACTGAGTGAGTTCTCAGGAGATCTGGTTGTTTAAAAGTGTGTAGCACCTCTGCCTGCTCTCTCTTCCTCCTGCCTGGCCATGTAAGACGTGACTCCTTCCTCCTTCTGCCATGATTGAAAGTTTCCTGAGACTTCCCCAATCATGCTTCCTGTACAACCTGTGGAACCATGAGCCATTTAAATCTCTTTTCTTTATTAATTACCCAGTCTCTGGTAGTTCTTTATAGCAGTGCGAGAATGGACTAATGCGGTCTTTAATCTTAAAATTTAAAAAAACTCATAAGTTAATAAGTAAAAGAATAAAAAATAACCCAGCAAATCTACTTTTATGTATATATGACAGGTAAATAATTAGAAATAGGTGCTTAGATAAATTTGTTAAAATTTCTTCCATGAAATATTATTTATGAACTCCCAAATTGGGAAAGGGGAGATTAAACATCTGAAAATAAACTGTATTTAAATTATGGTACATGAATATGATATAATAAAAGGCAACCATTAAGCATATCATCACATTTTAAATATCATATATAATAATCAAATGTGATTCATATATTAATAGAAAAATATGATTACCATTATATGGTTACTAGTATACTAGTTCTTAAGGAGTGATGCTCACAATCTAATGCTACATTTTTTAAAATTATGAATCATCATATTTGGTATGTTTTCATCTTTTAAGAAAAGCAGCTTTGTTAAAAAAAAAGTTTCAGATGGATTTGCACAAAATTTTATCAGCAATTTATTTGGAGATAGGTGAATTTTCATTTTCTTTCTGTGCCTTGGCCTTTACAATTGCACTTTAACATGCCTCAGAATCCTCCACTCATCCTGTAGAGCATGGCAACCCTACTAGGTGCCAGGCCTTAGGGATGCTGATGATACAGCACTTAGCAAGACAAACATGCTCCTTTGTCCTAGTGGGCTTACATTATGGTGGGGTGGTAGCCAATGAACAAATAACTTAATAAGTCAGTAAGGCAATTACAAATAGGTATAGGTTCTATGAATGTACAGGTGGGAAGTAACCGGGTACTGCTTAAGATAAAGTAGTCAGGATAGGTGTGCTTCTCTGAAAAGGTAATAGCAGAGATGAAACCCAGAAGATGAGACTAAACCAATCACGGATGGTGTTGATGGAAAAGTTTGACGCCAAGAGAGTGGTAGGTGTCAGACCTTGGGAGAGCAATGGTTAGGTGTGTGACAAGAACAGAAAGGAGGCAAGAATGGCCAGGTAGTTCATAATGTAGTAGAGACTTAAGCTAGGACAGAACTGATGGGAAGCCTCTGGGAGTCACACAGGATGTGATTCACCCTGGAGTATATAAGAGGGCTCATGTTGGCTTGAAGGGTATGGAAGTGAGGATGTGTTATGATCGATCAAGACCATGCACAGGGTCAGGCAGCAATGTAGATAAGGTGTGATCCTTCTTTAAGAAATAAAAAAGTAAATATTCTAGAAAAAAAATAAATATTCTAGAATGAGAGGTGTCTTTCTAGAATTCTTTTTTCAATTCCACCTGGTAGTTTTTGTTCCTCCTGAATACCAGTTTTTTTTTTTTTTTTTTTTTTTTTTTTTTTTTTGAGACGGAGTCTCGCTCTGTCGCCCAGGCCGGACTGCGGACTGCAGTGGCGCAATCTCGGCTCACTGCAAGCTCCGCTTCCCGGGTTCACGCCATTCTCCTGCCTCAGCCTCCCGAGTAGCTGGGACTACAGGCGCCCGCCACCGCGCCCAGCTAATTTTTTGTATTTTTAGTAGAGACGGGGTTTCACCTTGTTAGCCAGGATGGTCTCGATCTCCTGACCTCATGATCCACCCGCCTCGGCCTCCCAAAGTGCTGGGATTACAGGCGTGAGCCACCGCGCCCAGCCCTGAATACCAGTTTTAATGGGAATATAGAAAAACTAGAAGTACTCAGAGGGAAGTGTCTGAGATGGACAAAGTATGAAAGGGAGTGACTAGGCTGAGGATGTCAGGCATGGCCTTCAGGGAAGTTCCACGAGGGACATCACCACTGACAATGGACCATGACTTAGATGAATTCTGTGCCTGGACTGGAATTGGGACCAGTGGGTGGAAGCTTCAGGAACCCAGAGTTGAGCTGCAGATAATGAACAACTTCTAGTTAGAGTAGCTCAGAGGGGTGGAAGTAGTGGAGATGGCAGGCAGGTAAGGAAGGGAATTGGATATTTGATAGCAGTGTGAAAAGATATGTATTTCCTCCCCCTTGCTATTCTCTGAGTATTTACCATTTAGGTTATTGGAATTATCCAGGCCAAGAATGTTAGAACAATTCTTCCTTGTTTCGTACTTCTTCTCTTTCTCTATACCACTCATCCAATCTACAAGCAAATCCAGTTAGATATACGCAGAATTCAGCTGCTTACCACCTATATCATAACCACTGTCACCCCATAGTCTCCCCGTTGTCCTTCCTTTTTCCACCATATCCCCTTCAGTCTACTTGCTCTCCATGTAGCAGCCTACACAATCCTTGGAAAACCCAAGCAATGTTACCTCTTTGTTTACAGTCCTCCAGTAATTGTTTGTTTTACTGCAAATAAAATTAAAACTCTTTATATTTGGCCACATGTCTTCTATACCTCTCTCTGACTTTATCACATTCCTCTCTCCCCACAACTGCCTCCTCCAGCCACGCTGGTCCCTTAAGACCCATGCCTTCCCCTTTTTCAGATCTCTGCTCAACAAGGAAGCCTTCTTGGCTGCCTTCCATGAAAACACCCCCGCCTCCTTGTCCAGGTGAGCTCCATGAGGGCAGTGGCTGCTCTGGTTCACGGCTGTGTCTTCAGAGCCTGCAGCATTACCTGACCTAAAGCAATTATTTATAAATGATGGTGACATAAATGAGCTAATTGAAAACATTTTAGGAGTAACAAAACACAGAGATGCTGAGGAAGCCAACACACATTAAGGAAAAAGTCATAGACGAGAGGAGGAGACAGACAAGTGAGAGGGGAGGCTGGGGAGCAGCGGGGCTTGGTGTCCCCTAACATGAATGCCTGCCTCGTGCTGAGTGGTGTCTCATCAACCTTCCCACCTCCATGATGGGGGAATGTGGTCTTCACCCCAAAGGGGGATATAGGGGACTATGGTAGGGTTTTTTAGGGGCTTGACACAGTCAGTTTTTTTTTTTTATAAGGATAGCGCCAAGCGTTTCGTGGAGTTGGTAGGGCAATGGGTGAGAGAGGAGGCTGCTGTAATATACCCTGTGAGAAAAGGCTTTTGCTTGAACTTAAACCATCTATCAGTGTGGATGGAGATAAAGAAATGGCTTTTAGAGAGAGGTAGGAGGAAGAACCCTAGAATTCAGTAATGCAAAACCATAAATCAAGCATAATCTTAAGAGGCAGATATTATTCCCAGAAGCCATCTCACCTTATCTGCTATAGTCGTTTCTGTTTATGGCTTTCAATGAAAGCAATTAGAAATACCTTCAGAATGTCTTCTTCATGAAAACTAAGGTTGTCAATCTGCACACTCTGGAGAATAGACGTGACTCTGACAACTCTCAACCCTGTATTCAGTTGCCAGCTCATACTGCACAATGAATAATGAAACACTACAAGTAAGGACCCAGCCTCTTATAGCTCAGTGCCCTGAGCCCCAGAGAAAGAAATAGATACTTTGAACATATTTTATCGTAGCACCCATTTGTGGGCATGGTATCAATTTTGTTAAAGCTTTATCCCAGCATACTTAAAATCTAAACCTGTTGTCAGACTGAATTGAAACTCCCCTTTCTCCTCCTCATTATCATTTTTTCACCCTGCTAGTACCACATGCAGCCAGATCCCTGGTTCCCAAGGATCCTGTTTAACTCCAAATTCAGAACTGCCTGCCTTGACTTCTCTGCCCAGAGAAACTGTCTAAGTCAGCGAGACCTTGACTTTTACATAGAGAATTCGAGTCTGGGCAAATCTAACATTGGAGCAACAACTACACGAAGGGGAAACATTGCAAAATGTAAGAGGGATTTTTTTTTTCGGGGGTTGGCAGTAGATCCTGGGGAATGTGATTTAAAACAAACAAACAAAAACAAAATATGTGTTAAGTTGAACTCGTGAGTGAAAAGGGAAAATAAACATCACAGGATCAGAGAAACACAAAGTCCACAGAGGACCAGGTTGAGCCTGTATACCCAATAGAAGCAATTCCACTTTTTTAGCCTCTAACTTGGCATTGAACAAGACTGGGTTAAGCTAAACAGGGGGTCTACTGCTTCAATATCTCTACATAGGATTGCATTGGAGGGAGATTGGGCCTCTGAAACCAGTGGCTTTTGATACCTCGGAGACTGGCAGAGCACAGTAGATACAAGAAAAGCAGCCAGTTTCAGTAGGATGGGTGCTCTATGATGGAACCCTCAACAGGAAGTCATCTGGTGGTAAGATGTCAGAAGCCAGAAATCTGTGAGCATCATGCAAACATTCTCTCCACATGCATTTATTCATGCAACAACCCCCTCATCTGCATTCACTACTGGGCTAGAAATATGGGAAATAGAGGGTCATCTTTCTGCTGCCTCTGTTTTCTGTCTAGAGGAGGATGTGACACAGTTATACAAGCAACCCCTTAGGAGATGCCATTATTCATACCAAAGACCAGAAAGAGCCCTTTACTGTCTTCTGCAGCCGTCCATTGAGGGTTGCTTTCTTTTTTGATGTGAAAAGCAATTAGCCACGACCAGCGACAGGGCACCATGATGCTGCTTTGATTTGATAGCAAGAGCTCAATGTACTGCTTATCTACACTTTATTTCCTTGCTTTTGAATTCACGGGTCATAATAAAGCATTGCATGTCCACAGACCTGCACAAAGAATTAATTAAGAGGAGCCTTTTAATGTAGAAAGCAGCTTACTGAGATAATGGAAAAGGCTTTGGTAAAACTTGGCTTAATTGGAATTTCAAGCAATTCCTGGCTTGTCGTACCAGGGATTTTTACTGTTATAGACCGGATGAGCAAGCTGTTTAAAGAGCTTATGGGCAGAACTGGACTCAGAGGTCTCGGCAGAGATGGATTTGGCTCAAACAATTGGGGCTGCCTCAGAAAACGGCAAGGAGGGAGCATAGACTTGCTCTCTTGTCACTGCATGGACTTGCAAGGCTTATAAATCTCTATTATCCCAAATAACTCAGAAACTAGGAGATAAACTGGAGGGTCAAGTTCCAGGACAGCAAACTTGCTGCTTATTTCTAGATACAAATAGGGAATGAGATAAAGAGGGAACAAATGAAGAATATGGACTTTGATGTTTGAGAGGCATGGATTCATGCCCCAGTTCTACTATGTACTTCCTGAAAAATTGTAGATAATAATACTGTCCTCACAGGAGCAGTGTGAATATTAACTGTTAATAGAGCATGTTAAGTGCATAGTGCTCTGCTGCAATGTGCAGGATTCTCTGTGTAGGACACATCAGTGGACAAGACACAGACACATCCTTAGAGAAGTTTATAATGGGACATAGATGGCAGACAAATTATACTGGCTGGGATGAAGCCTTTTCCATTTGAATCACGGTACATTAACTGAGCAACTGGAAGACAAAGCCAATTGAAATGAATGCCTTTCAAGGGCATAAAAGAGCTTCAGGGAAGAAGAAAATGGCTCTGTCTCTTCGTGGGCTGCCTAACGGTGGGAAGAGGCATAAAAAGATGACTGAGAGTTTAGCAATTTAGCCATGGCTTCCTTGTCTCACTGCCCCACCATACAGCTCTAGGGCTTTCTCCCTGGGTCCAAATGCTGCTGCTGCTCATCATAAGCACCTGTGCATGAAATTCAGTGGGGCCTTCTGAAGGGCTGTTTGTCTGAAAATTAGCTTGATTCACATCTGAATTACCAATGATTACTAATGATTAGTTGATTACAACTTGACATAAGCTTCAATTGCTATAAAGTGCTATATGTCACCCTAAAATATATTCTACTGGAGGCAAATTCTATCTACTTCTTGTTGTTGCATTGGAGCTGAGCTCAGATTGTCTTAGTATATATTGTGGACGGCTTTGGGGAACATGCACTTATTCTTCTCCTGTGATGTTTAGTCTACCCATTAGATTAAGGAGTGCAAAGAGCAATTTCTCCTCTCCAAGATAAGAGCAGGAGTCTTTTCAGGGGTGCCAATTTCTGTGGCAAAAATGCTGTTTCTTCTCTGGCAGTAACAAAGAGGATAGAACTGAATCGGGGCATTCTCCTAAAGCTTTCTTCAGCTTAGCAAATACGTATGTATATCTTGGAAAATAAGCAGCCTTAAGTAAGACCTGAGAGGTGAGAAAAGATCCAGAATAATATGGATTTGCTGGGGAAACAAAAAGTATTCTAAATAAAGTGGCAGAAAGCTTCCCCAGTACCACAGAAAACTCCAGAATGGGCTTCTCAGAAGAGGCAAAATCATGGCAGTTTATGTGAAGGAAAATAGACCCATATCTGTTATTCTCCTCACTATATGCTGTGTAAGTGCTCAATATGAGTCTATTACTGTTGGGAGCTTTCATGTTTGTCCCTAATTTTATCTGCACAATAAGCCTGAAAGGCATTTGTTTTTATTCGCATTACAGATTAGGCTACCTAGGCTAAGAGAAGGCAGCCTGGGAAAATTACTCTCATAAAGTAGCATTCCAGAAACAGTGGAGTAAAAATCTCTTAGTAATAGGAGAAATCTTGTATTCTACACTCTTAATTGTTTCTGGAATGCTATTTTGCCTTCACTTTGCAATGACCTGGAGCAGTTTTCTGGTGGTTCTATTCTAAAACTCCTACCAGTGTCCCTACCCTAGCAGCAGGGAACTCTGAAGACCTTCCCACTCCACACCAGGAGTTCCCAAAGATGAGTGTGCCTCAGAGTCACCTGGAAGGCTTGATAAACACATATTGATAGGCCTCACTCCCGATTTACTATGTCTGGGTGTGGCAAGAACATTTACATTATTTTTTATTGAGATAGACTTTACATATTAAAAAGTTCAACCATTTTAAGTGTACGATTCAGTAATTTTTAAAAATTTTACCTATTTGTACAACCATCAATGCAGTCTATTTTTGTAACATTTCCATCACACCAGGAAGAAACTTTGTACCTATGAAGTCACTCCCAGTTCCCACTCCTAGTCCCCAGCAACCATTAATTTACTTTCTGTGTCTATAGATTTGCCTGTTCTGGAATCACACAACATATGATCCTTTTCGTTGACCTTCTTTTTACTTAGCATAGTGTTTTTGAGATCTGTTCATGTTGTAGTATGTACCAGTATTTCACTCAATTTTATTGCTGAATAATATTTCAGTCATTGTGTAGGCCACAATTTGTGTATCTATTTACTGAGAATTTGTATTTCTGACAAGTTTCCAGTTGATGCTGAAGCTGCTATTCTGGTGATTACATTTTGGGAACACTTTGTGGTCCACGCCAACAGTTCTCAGCCTTGGCTATGTGTTGGAATTTCCAGAAGAGATTTTAAAAAATGCCATGCCTGGGCCTCATCCATAGTTTGATTTAAATGGTCTGAGACAGGGCTCAGGAATGGACCCTTTATCAAATTCCACAGGTAATTGAAATGTACAGCTGAGGTTGAGAACTGTGTCTCTATACCCTTGCTACTCAATGTGTGCTCTATGGACCAGCAGCAGCAGTGCTTAGCCTGGGAGCTTGTTGTAATCTCTGAATCTCAGACCCGTCCCCAAACTTCTTGAATCAGGTTCAGTATTTTAACTGAATCTGGTTGATTAATCCCTGGTTGATTCTCAGATGCATGTAGATTTGAGAAGGGCTGCCTCACAGCACCGTAAAATGCCAAGGAGAAGAAAACAGGAACAAAAGGAAAATTTCACTTTCAGAATGAACTGTGATGATAACCAAAAAAAGGGCTGCTGATGAACAGGTGGTTCCTTTCATTTGAGGTGCCGAGATTAGCTCTTGCATTGATTAAATCGTGGGATAATTTCTGACCTTCTTCTCAGTCCCTATGGCTATAGATGAATGTAGTGAAGGAAGCTGGATTAAACTGCCTGCTCTAAATAAATCTCACTCCCTTTCCAGGGAGTATGGATGGGACATACTAATGAGTTTCAACTGTGCTCATCCTAATAAGAACATGCTGGGAGTCCTCTAACAACAATTGCTTGAATTGCTAGAGCTGTTTGGATTCCATGGGACCTCAACATCTTGATCAGATTAATTAATCCACTTGAGTATGACCATTTTTGGGAGGGTGAACCTCCTTAGATCTCAGCATGAATAGGTAGGTATTAGGGAATAGAAATCAAGCCATAGAGTATGTCTGGAGGAACTTGGTGTACTAAGGAGGACAGAAGCTCAAAGAGGTACTTAATGCTCAGAGTGATGATAATGATAATGGAAGTCCCAGAAAGACAGACCCAAACCCACATTTGGATGGAAGAGTATAATCAGGGGAGGCTCCCTGGAGAAGGTGATTATTAGGATAATGTTGAAAAAATCCACAATAATTTACCAGGTTAGCGGGATGGGATGTGAAAGTACAAGAGAAAACTAAGCAGGCAGAGGGAATAAGTAGGACAAAGGCCCATAAACATTAAAATACTTGAAATCCTGATGCTTTTTTAGATCCAGGGTTTGTAAACAAAAATTGCTTTGCCTATAGAAGCTCAAATTATTATCTTTTGTGGAAGATCAGGAGAGGGATATATGATTAGTTTTGCGCATGAAGCCAGAAGTACTTTCAAAGCAGACAGAGACCCCAAACTCAGCTATGCTTTTAACAAAGAAATGACTGCACTTCTTTGAGCCTGTGGGTCCTGGCACATGAAGATATGTTTAGGGTCTTTCTCCATCTTCTCACCCAGGGTGGGAAATCTGACAGCTCCTCTCTGGAGCCTTGTGACATGGGGGTACCCAAGAACTTGTTGGGGAGGAAGCTGACAACCAGACAAGTGGACAGTCCATCGCTCAGGACACAAACAGACCCAATAGGCCAAAGGAGACTAGGAAAGTAACTTAGGTCTTGACCTCTGTGAAATCAGAGATGTAGATAGAAACTTGCGTTCAAATCAGAGCCTAGAAACTCACCAACTGTATGAAAAGAGTGTGGGTAAAATGTCAAACACAGGGTCAAATTTGATATAGATGATCAATCAATGCCAATTACCTTCCCTGCCATAATCTGGGAATCAAACCCAGGTTCCAATTATCACTTATACTATTCACCTCCCTTTTATTGCCCCTTAAATTTACAGTCTTTATCTGTACAGCCAGAGCCACTCCTGACTGTAGATCCATGAGACAGCCAACTAAAGAATTTAAATTTCCCATCTCTACCTCCCTTCCTCTCTCTTCCTCCTTTCCTTTATCCTTCCTCCTTCCCTCTCTCACTTTCTTCCTTCTTTTCTTCCTCTCTCCCTCCCTCCTCCTTCCTTCTTCCTCCCTTCCTTCTTTCTTCTTTTCTGATTTGTTTTCTTTCTTCCCTTCTTTCTCCCTCCCTCTCTTCCAAATTAAATGAACCCTGCTGCAACTGCCTGAATACTAAGGGCTTAAACACATCCAGAACAAGTGGAAGAAATTAACATTCAAGGGATTATCTCATTTCAATCCTCAAAATAACTCCATAAACTAGATAATAATATCCTATCCACATTTTACACTTTTAGAAATATTGAGGCAAGTAATCTTGCCCAAGACCACTCAGCCAGTCAGTGGTGGAGCTGGTGTGTCTAAATTTATTTACCCTGGATTCCGCTGCCTAACAATGGAACTGTTGCATGTACCAGTGGCTCAGCAGACACTGGAGGGACATACGTTCCCGGATGCCCCATAGCAATGGCATTGGGGTCACCACCTTCAGAAATAGACTGTGATGATCTGGGAGCAGTCCTGGGATTGTGAATGTTGCTGTGAATATGAGTGGATATGAATCACCCCAACTTATAAGGTCTGTGACCACAGGCCCAGGTAGCTGAGATGCTGCTCTGAGAGGGGGGCTCACCTGATGTTTCCATGTGTCTCAGTTAAAATCCGTACTGTATTGTGAGGTCACACAGGAATGAGATCCACAGAAGGGCATATGAATCACAGCTGCAGAACAATTCCATTTTGTTGGATACCAGTAGGCAAGTTAGCTTGAAAAAAACTACGCTTATGAAAGGGTTGGATGAGTCCATTTTGGGTAGCCTGCAGTGTAGCAGGATATTTCTTGTCCTTAATTACTCTGTCCTCTGGTGGGAACAGAAAATACAGTTAATCCATCCCATTCTGTCCTCAGAGCAGAAACTCCCCTTGATTATTTCAACTTTTAAAATACTCATTGTGTTTGAATGAATGTGATTGTTTGATTGTTGTTTTTAATTTGTAAATTAATATAATTAACAAAGAAATCCTAACTGAAGTGTAGGATTACATTTATTTGGCATCTACTCCATTAATGTCTAGCATCTAAAAAGCATTGTTAATCGTATGAACACTGTTAATTATCTCAACATGTTTAATTGCTGTTTTCTTAAATAACTAGTAGGCCATATGTAAATGATCTTTCATGCATTAACACTTCATTTTGTGAAAAAGTAAAACACAAAAGCAGGTTGCATGAAACATTAAACCAAACATGATCTCTGGGCCATTCGTGGAGTATTGGGAAAACGGGAAACCGAGATAATGTTTCCCCCTTACCATGCCAACCTCATACCTCAGTGTCCCAGAGGGGCAAACATAGCTACACTTGGAAATATTATAGAAATGTCAAAAGAACAGCAGATCTGCAGTGTAAATTGCGAAACATATGTTAAAATTCTATTTTTCCTGCGACTGTAAACTTTATAATTTTTTATCAAGCTAGGAAACAAAAGTCATAATATCTAACATTTAGGAACATTTGCTATATTCCAAGCACTGTGCAAGGGCTGGGTGGTTTTCTTTTTTCATTTCATTCTATAGTGGTCCTATTGTGTAGAAAATATGATTATCATCTCAATTTGTAAATTCAGGGAAAAAATTAGGTAGCTTGCCCAAGACCACACTCCTAGTGTGGTAGCCATTAAGGATGTTGGTCTAGTAATTTCCTATTTCCTCCTTCCAGGTGGGATTGAACAGCAGCCTCTTTTAGTGGGCTTTCTTTACAAAACCCAACGACTCTACCTCTCTGCTTGCTAAGCATGTGAACTTATCATCTAATGGGGAATGCAAGACTCACTCTCCAGTAAACCTAGAAAACTTAGATAACCTTGCTTCTCATCTAATGAGACAGATATATTCTTCTCTCCAGAAGACAGGTTTGATGCGGGAAAATACTTCTGATTTTTTTCCTCTATAAGTGGGGAGGCATAAGGGTGAATGTAGAGGGAGGGGGAAGAGGTGTGTGTTTCTGTGTGTGTGTGTGTGTGTGTAGAGAAAAAAAGTGAGGATGTGTGAGAAAGAGAGACAGAGAGAGAGAGATGCATAGAGGACATGAAAAGAGGACATCAGACCACTAAACATGGTCTAATCACTTAAAATTTTATATCAATTTAAAAATTTGTTAAACCTGAAAGGGCTGAAAAAGATAGAAATTGAGAGAGTGAAACAAAAGGTCGGGGCATGGGGTTAAGTGGGGTATGATTTATTGGGGCCAATGCACATGGCAAATCAAGGTGAGAGAATGATTTAGCCGCGGGCAGCACAAGCCACTGCCAAAGATGTGGTTCAGTGCACAAGTTACCCAAAATGTCACGAATGACAGTAGTTGTACATTCTTGAAGGGAAAACACTACACCAATTGAGTTCCTGGAGTTTTCCTTTTTTCTTTTTTAGCTTTCCCTAATTATTGACATATTTGGCCACATTTCCATTATTTTCTTGAGATACACACAAATTGCTCGTTGTTCATGTGTTCAAATGCATATATCTAGAGAGGAAAGGACAAAGAATACACTTGAGTCTAAAGGACCTCATTCTCTCTAGAGAGATTACACTCATAAGTCCAATGTAAATTGGCTTGCATGACATGCAAATATAGGCTTCATGAGTCCAGGAAAGACTGTAGCAGGCTCTAGGCTCTAGTCTGCCCTGTTTGAAACAATGAAGAGTATTATTTGTGAATAGTTTGTTCTTCTTGAAATTCCAGGTGTAACATGGATTCCATGCCACTGGGCAACTGTTCAACTGCCCTGAAGAAACGGTGTACGTATCACAAGTATCACAAAGGGCTGCTGGGTCCACTGAGTGATTGTTTTGCATTAGGTGAGACTGTTTCGAAGCCATGATGTTTCACAAGTCTCTGATTCTATATGTGCTGTTTGCTTTGGAGTGAAATTACTTCCTCATGCTTAGCACCACCATTGCCTGATTCCTGTCTGCCTGGAATGATTATCTCCATCTTCAATTTGCAAGTGAAGAAACTGAGCTATAGGGCCATGGCACTAACAGGTTCTCTGGAAAGCAGTGGCTAAGATGGAGTCAGAAATAGAAAAGCTTATTGTGGATTAATTCCTGGGGTGTGATGGCTCATACTTGTAGTCCCAGCACTTTGGGAGGCTGGGGCTGGGGCTTTGCTTGAGCCCAAGAGTTTGAGAACAGCCTGGGCAACACTGGGAGACCCTATCTTTACAAAATATACAAAAATTTAGCTGGTTGTGATAGCACACACCTGTAGTCCCAGCTACTTGGGAGGCTGAGAAGAAGGATCGTTTGAGCCTGGGAGCTCAAGGCTGCAGTGAGCCATGATCATGCCACTGCACTCCAGCCTGAGTGACAGAATATCAGGAGCCATCAGACCACCATGCAGACTTGACAAGGTCTCTGCACAGTCCCAGAAGAAACAAAGCAAAGACTGCCCACTAGAGGAGTCCCCTTTTGAAGGAAATGCCTGGACCCTTTTTTCTCTACCATGCTTAGTCATTGGCAAGGGCTGCCCTAAGAGCAGCATGACTTCAGCTTATAAGTGTGGATGAACTGTACGCCTAATAGCTAGAGGCCATCAGCTATCCACACTCTTCTCAACTGAGTAGCAACTCCATTCTTGAAAGGGAACCTGAGAAACCTATCTCTATGTCTGCCACAGGTGGTAAACTTTTCCACTGTCATGAATAGTAGCAAGTGGCAGGAACAGGATTTGAATCCAGGTGATATGATTCCAGCTCCAGTGTTCTCATCCACTGCTTACTCCAGTTGTGTCTAGCATAGAGATGCCGGAGAGAAATTACAGGTACATCCACCTCCCTTTTCTACAGAGTTCTCTGTGGCCCATCCACTCCCTGAACAGGACTTCCTACTCTCTTGGTGACCAGGACCGCTCTGCTGGTGTCTGCTGCTATAAAGCCCTGGTGTGGCCTTCTCACCACTTACCCTTTTACCAGCACAGGATGGGCCCTGTACTCCCTCTAAAGGTATCCTGTTTGCTGGCAGCTCTCCTCCCTTCCCTTCTGGGTCCTCATCAACCCATTTTTCAGTCTAGATTTCTCCAGGTTAAAAACAGGATAAACAACTTTATCCTTGTTTTTATGAATATCCCAACCCATAGCCCTTCTCTCTTCATTTTGCCCTGTGATAGAAGCAATCCTGTTGGGGTTGCTGATCTGCTTTTTCATCCTACCTCCTCTCTCAGTAAATTCAAGGGATATTGTCTATAGGATTGGTCTGAGGAAAACACCTGTGACTACAGAATCACATCAAATGTCAAACCTTCTAGGGGCCCCGGGTTCCCGCATCTTCCCTGTTAAGGTGGAAGGTTTACATCAGAGTCTTACCAACCATGAGTTTTAACTCCACAGTGACAGGGGCCATGGCCTTTCCCCAAAACACCTATTAAACTCTTTCACAAATAGAATCCTCAGTGGCTGAACATATCAGAGTCTTACATAGATCAACATATCAGAGTCTCTTCTTGGATAGATGTACAGAATAGCAATCACCCTGCAACCATGGCTACATTATAAATGAGCTTTCCAAAGGGCCATCAAACAGAGGAAGAGAGATGGAGAGAAATTTTGAGGAGATTTGCTTTTTTCCCCACCTTTATTGCATATTGAATCTTTCCTGGGTGAGGATGAGATTCTACTCAGCTGTTCTCCTAAGGAGTCAGCTGTCAGTGTATTAATGTGATCCCTGCTGCAACCCCAAGTGAATAATGATAACCTGGCAGACACGCAATTATGCATTGACAATTTTAGAGCTGCCTCTGCCAGCCCCATCCTCCCCAGCAACTCATAGCTTTCAAGCCTCAGCCCCACATGATTTCTAAATCAATCATAGCCCAGGCAGGGGACAGCCAGCCCACAGGTTTGTGAATCTTGCTTCTGTAAGGTCAGTGTGGACATGATGAGGTTGAACCTTGGATAGTCTGTCCCCTTCCCCAAATGGCCCCAACGTATCACTGAGGCTGTTTGCAATATGATACTGTTTTTCCCAAATGTTTTGACATTGAGGCTACATCTGCAGCAATAACCCAATGGAAAATGTAGCTAAAGAGATGATAACATGCCACCTGGGAAAGGAAGCAGCATCAAAAATCTAATTTCCATGAACAAATTCCCGCAACACTCATTGATGGGACAATCATATTCACCTAAATCTTTAACTGAGCATTTACAAACTATGATTCCATTAGATTTTAAACAAGACTATTCTTGCAAATATGTTTTTATGGAAAAACTAATAAGAACAACCTAATATTGTATCTAGTGTGAGAATTTTTTTAAAAGATAATTTTAAGCTACAGAACTAACATAAGCTATACCTCTATTTTTCCTGGTGAATATTATGAAACAAAAAGATTTTAAAGCCCTGGTAGACATTAGGATAAAACCCAAACTTAAAATTTGGGTTGTGTGCCAATTTAAATTTAATCTTCTAGTTATATTTAATTATTCTGTTCCTTTTATTCAGGGGTGTTGTCTCCATGTCTTCTGTGAAGAGCACTCTCTTAGCCTAATGCCTCCTCAGGGACCTCGAACTTTGATCTCTGAACTGCGTCCTCCCAGGGCCCAGAGGGAAGATCAATCACTCAGGCATCTCCCAGGACACCAGGTCAAGTGGCAGAAGTTCATCCTCTGGGATTCTTTGTCCTCTGTAACATCGATTGTCAACTTGGCAAAGCCAGCTTGACAATACCAGAGTCTTTGTGTACAATCCATAGACAGCACTGGGAAGAGCAAACCATGAGAGGCCAGCACTAAACCCTCAGGGTAGCTAAAGAGGAAGCATGGTAAGACCTCATTCTGCAGCAGAAAAAAACAAACAATCTGCTCTACATGTACCCAGCATCATGTGAACATGAACCAGTTGAGTATCGCCTGGGCCTCTGTTTGCTCATCTGTAAATGGGCTGGTTGCCCCTTCTTGCAATGGACAAGCCTGCATCCGCAGAGTTCGAGTCCTGTGTCTTGTGTCCTTGCCACATCCTCCTCTGGGAGCACTCCGCAAAAGCTGTTATTGTTAGCCCCCTTCTCTCAACCTCCCCAATCATTGCACACTCATAGACAAAGGACAATCTGATCTTTATGTGACCAAGATAAAATTTGATGGGAGATCAGCAAGACATAAAGGAAGGTTCTTAAATGACATATTTATCCCAACATTGTTCTGGGAAGAAAAGTATCCATTGTAAAAACTAAACATGTCTGATTAAATGATAAATGCAGGAAGCTGACAGTGGAACAGTCACTATGCCAAAGATTCTCAGATTATCAAAGCCCTGTCAGGCCACTTCAGAAAAGGGGATTCCCAATATGAGTTCACAATACTTTGACATCTGAAGAGGTCAGTTAGCCTAAGGCAAAGGAACTGCAATGTGCCAGCCTAAATGTTCTGCTTCTCACTCTCACAGAAAGAAGGAAAACTGGAAAATGGGAATCAGCAGTTGTGGAGAGCGCAGACTTTCCTAAGTATTCTGGGGATACTAGTAGGAGTTAGAGGAGAGAGTATGTATTTTGTAGCCAAATAGAAGTCTTTTTGGGACATGCTGGATTAAGAACATTGCTAGACTTTTGGTATATGACACATGATTTATTCCTTATCCCAACACTTCAAATTTTAGGTCAACATATCTCTCTTTCTCTGTAGTGGGAGATGAATTCAATGACTTACTCAAGGTCATACAGTTAGTTATGTCAGAACTTGAATTTTATCTCAAGTCAGCTTTATTCCCATACTGGCAGTTTTCTGTATGATTGTGTTCATTATACAAGAAAGGAGCAGGAAGTTCTTTGGAAGGATATTTTGAGATTTAAAAATAAAGCTTTCCAATAAAGACTATGGTCATCAGAATAAAACCTGCACATGTATGGGCAGTATGCAGTTGATCATGTTCTCCACCTTCAAGTCTATGCAAAATCAACATCCCAAGGACAGGCATAAGCCACATTCTCTTTCACTAGCTAGTACAGAGCCAGAGCAATTGATAAGAACCGTTGTCTTTGTTGAGCATAGAGGTATCATTAGACTAAAGAAATGTCATTGGAAATTCTTTCCAATGTGGCCAGTCTCAGTCCAAGCCCTTTCCTAGCTGGGTATAAGGATTAGTCAGGTGGCAGAGCTACTCCTTTCTGAAGCCAGAAGGAGCAAGTCCAACAAGGTCTCGGGCCTTCGCATCTGGAAGTGGGGTACCCAGGCTGATTTTTTTGAAACAGGAAAAGTTGTGTCCTGTCGTTCCCTTTCCCTGGGAAACTTACCCAACTTTCCAGCCAAGCTCCTCACTCTCACAGTCTGTGCTGTATCTCAAGTGTGCATCCCTGGACACAAACCTAGTTCTGCACATCTGCACTCTTAAATGTTAAACTCATACCCTGCTCCCTTAGAATTACACCCCTCACACCATCTCCACAGAAAATGGTGTGTGCCAAGAAATGGACTTAAACTTTTTCATAACCATCAGTCTTCTTTTGTTGTGATTTTGGTCTTCCTGAACTTGAAGGCCTGAAAATTCTCACTCCTCTTTCTGGCTTTGTGTTTCTCCTTTTCCACGGTTTGTGTAGCTGTTTTGCAACCCTCACCTGAATGCAGCTGCTTTTGGGGATTCTGAAACCACAAATAATCACTATCTTTTCTCTGGACATGACACCTCAGAACTAATACAGTTGAAAGCTCTCAAAACAAATTATAATATTGAGACAGGGCTTCTCTGAAAACAGTTTGAGCCATGTTCCTATAAGTGTATGTCTGTATGTAATCCATTGTGTCTTCAAGCCTCTGGAAGACAATGGCCTGCCACTCAGGAAAGATGCCAAAATGCAGAGGATTTCTGCAAATCCTTCCCTTCAGAGAGGGACCAAAGGCCCTAGGCTCTCAGGGATGAGAGAAGGAAGGAAGCAGGACTTCTGGGAGGTACCATTCCTGAGAGGTGGCTTGGCTGCAGGTCACAGAGGCCCCAGGGTCCTGTCTATGAGTGGCTAGAGGGAGCAGCTCCCTGTCTCAGCCTTTGCACAGAAAAGGGGTGTAAATGACAGTAGCATTAGGTGACAGGGGGCAAAGTCATCCTACAACTGCTTGTTATTTGGAAATTAGTGCTATTTTCTAATATGGAGAAATTACAGGTTGCTAATGTGATCCTGATGGAAACAAAATACAGTGGCTGATCCCTTCTGTCATTCAAACCCTGGTGTCAGTAGGGAATCCCCATGCTGAGGGTTAAATTATGATGGTTTGAAAGGGGAAACTTTAAAGCATAAATATCAGGTATTTGTGTTTTACTTTGTGGAAATTCTTGACCATTTAGCTATTTGGTAATTGCTGTGCACAGCTGAGTAAATATACAGTGAGTTTCAAATCATTCAATACTAAGAAAATGGAACTTTCTCTCTCTGTCAATATATATATGTATATGTGTGTCTTTGAGTGTGTATGTGTGTGTGTGTATGTATATAATTTTGACAACAAGGTTTTCTGTACTTTTGAGCTATAACTGGAGGTCAAATGGAATGTTGTGAAATGTCAGAACTGCCAAATATTCTATTTAATTTAAATTCATAAATGTTGGCCAAAGTGATGTGAAAGAAGAAACTCAATCTCTCTGAGCACTAGATTACTGCCCCCATACCCTGGCCCTTTCTTCCCTGAGAAGGTTAGTCATCTCTGTAAATAAATACTGCCATTTCCTTCCTTACTCCTTTCTACCAGCCATCTCCAGGGCAGGGATGTGGCTTGGCAGGGAATATGGGGGGAGAGTGACCCAGGACACACTGAACAAATTGCCTTGCCAGCCTGTGCCTCAAGACCTTTGCAGAGGCCATGCCTTCTTGTCAGAGGTATGTGAACCAGAACAACTCCATCTTGAATAGGAGCTGGGTAAAATGAGGCTGAAACCTACTGGGCTGGATTCCCAGACAGTTAAGGCATTCTAAGTCACAGGATGAGATAGGAGGTTGGCACAAGATACAGGTCATAAAGACCTTGCTGATAAAATGGGTTGCAGTAAAGAAGCCAGCTAAATCCTACCATAACCAAAATGGCCACGAGAATGACCTCTGGTCATCCTCACTACTACACTCCCATCAACACCATGACAGTTTACAAATGCCATGGCAACGTCGAGAAGTTACCCTGTATGGTCTAAAAATGGGAGGCATGAATAATCTACCTGTTTTTTAGCATATCCTCAAGAAATAACCATAAAAATGGGCAACCAGCAGCACTTAGGGCTGCTTTGTCTATGGAGTAGCCATTCTTTTATTCCTTTACTTTCTTAATAAACTTGCTTTCACTTAGCACTGAGGACTCGCCCTGAATTCTTTCTTGTGCAAGATCCAAGAACACTCTCTTGGGGTCTGGATCGGGACCCCTTTCCTGTAGCAGAGACCCTGACCCAGTGGCTACCTTTGGGTAAGTGTTGGGGTCTTGTAACATCTTTCTTGCGAACCACAAAAGGGACAATACTGAGGAGACCCCCCCAACCCAAAGGAAATACAGTGTACCACTGATGACATGACTTTGGGTAAATGGTGGGGTACCTGGGTAAAGAATGGGATTGGGTTAGAGGCCCTACTTAGGGAAGTTAGAATCTCTCCTAAGACAGAGTGGGTAGAGGCCCCTCTTAATAAAAGGCAAGGATGCTTGACTGACCTTGGGTTAGAGGCGCAAGTTAGGACAGTTAGAGTCCTTTCTAAGATTTAGGGGTTTAGAGGCCCCTCTCAGTAAAGTCCCTCTGGACTAAGCACAGGTTTGACACTATGAGATGTTAACTGCTATTCTCTTTGGATTCATCTGCCTTGTACTCTGTGTTGATGGCTGTGGGTGACAGGGTTAGGCATGTACAGGATCTTGGGACATGGGGAGTTTTTCCTCCCAAAAAGGGGAAACTTGAGAGCTAATAGGATTGCTGGAAAAGATCCCTTTGCTGCCAAGAAGCAGCTGCCTGAACTTTTTAGTGTCGCTGCAATGGGAGGGTCTTTCTCTGGCTTCTCTGATCATTTTTGCCTTCCCCACCCTGCCACAGGCAATGTTTTCCTCTCTCTCCTTTCCCTTTCTTATCTTTTCTTTTACTCAGGGTGACCATCTTGCCCAGAGACCACATGTTGAAACTCCAAGTCGGAGATTGGATTAAAGATGACAGGGCCCATCTGGGGGCAAATTTAAGCCTTGACAGTTTTTTTATTGGGTGCTAAGCAAAGTGACTAATGTCTATGTTTTATCACATGTATTTTGCTCTGGGCAGAATGAAGAAAAGAACAACAACAACAATTTTCCTTTATGATGTGGCTTGGTCCCCAGGATGATGGTGCTGCAAGTCAGATCACTAGGGCCACTCAGGGAAAGGGAACCCAGAACCCAGGCATGCCAGCCAAAGGGTAACAATTTCTTACCAATCAGATTTCTGGCTTCTCTCTCTGTGTGTAAACAGTTGAATGAATGGGGGGGGCGGCGGGGAAACAGTGTTTATTTCCTCTGTAAAGTTCTGATTAATGTGAAGAAGATATCTAAGTCTAGTCTAAAGTTGGTGTATTTTGTGCTATTAATTCGTTTTTCTGTGTTGAGGGGTACTTTAGGATAAAACATGGGCTTAGAACACCCCTATAAGCCTGATTTTCAAGATGACCCAGCAAGCTGGTCAGCAACAAACTTGGCTGCAGGTCCCTGAAACAAACAAAAAAACTGGATGAAGTCTCCACCTTGTTTGATGTCCTTGGGAGCTTGACCTTGTATCAACATGGCAGTACTTTTGGTCTCTGCATTCCAGGGAACAGGAATTTTAGGGTTCATGTCATAGTTAGCTCTATAAATCATATTAAATAGTTAAAAGCCTTTGCAAGCTCAAAATTAACTACTCTAAACTTCTTCTGGGGAAAAAAAACAAAAAACAAAACAGAGGCTGCCCTTTGATGTAGCTCAGTAGCTAACATTTTGTGCTTTCACAGTGGCGGTCTGGATTCCATTCCCCACCTAGAAAGTAAGTCGTTTCTGGTTTAATATCTGTGTGACCTTGTCTATTCTTTTCTCCATGGACTGTCTTAAATTTTCCTTTCTCTATGCACCTAGGAGGTTACCTTTGGTAGAGTTCAGAAGCTAGAAATATTGGCTGCTTGGCATGGCTAAAGTTGGGTAATAAGAGATCTGCAAGGATTTCCTTTTTAAAGAGCACTATGGTTAGAAGTCAGCTTAATTAAAATGGATAAACAAGCTATAGATATATTTAAAAGGTCTTTATGTTTTTCTCTTCTTGGAACATGTTTTTCCTGAGAAAGGTTTTTTTCTTCTCAGTTGACTGAATTATTCCTTTTTTTTTTTTTTTGTCTTGCCACTGTTAGTGCACACATGAGAGGCCCTAAGATAACTTCTGGTAGCATGAGACTCCTTGGGAAAAACAGAGGAGATGCCATAGACCACGTTTCAGGAAAAAAAGAAAAACAAACCTCTGTTTTCCTCATAAAACCCCAGGAATTAAAGGCAGACAGATCCCTCTCAAAATCAAAGGATCTGTTCTGTTTTGCATTGTGTTATCTGATGGTTTTGAGTTTTGGGGGTGTCAGAAATTACTTTGCATTATGAGAGAGCTTTGGGGTGTAATAAGTAGGTAGGAAATATACTTTAAGGGATGACTAATAGTAGTTAGGGAGGGTTACTTGACTCTTTGCACACTTGGATCAGAGAAGCATGCTCTTGGCCACCTGAAAGATAAGGGAACCTCCCCACCCTTCACTGGGAGATGAGACTTACATGAGGGATGGGCTGATTACAAAATGGGCTGATTGGCTTTGGGTTGCCTTGCGATGAAATGCACAGCTGGTAAAAGCACTGCACTCACTGTCTTCTCCCGAAGTATTTCCCTCCTTTTGGGGATCCAGGATCTAGTATAAAATGGCACCCTGAGTTTTGGGCATCTGTCTTTGCCTTCAGCTGCTTATTTCGCCCTAAAAACACGTGCTTTCCTGGCCCTGTTCCTCCAAGGGCTCCACCCTGAAGCCAGTAATCCAACTAAGAAACTGGCAAATGAAAAATCTTATACGTGCTGAATCTTCTGCCTGTCTGTGTATTTTTATGTGTTGTATGTTTATATACAAAAGAGTTTTAATTAATTAGCTTAGAAAAATAAGTGATTAAATCAAATATTTTGTCAGATAAATAGAAACTTTAATGCCTTTTTGTTCACATGACTTTAGTACTCTTTTGGAAATAAAGACAGTTTTAAAGATCATTGGCAAAATAAAATGTTTTGAAAATGTAAACATCTAGTCTAAATTAAGGTCAGACATCAGATTTTCTAAATGCCTTAAGGTCAAACTGTTTCTTTGACTTTTGAAAATTGTTCAATTTACCTACCTTGGAGACATTGGATTCTAGATAAGGCCTGGGGACATGTGGAGTTAGCCACGCCCCCTAGCTATGCTGCACTTATCTGCACTTCTGCCTGGTGTGTCCTAGGCTAGGCTCCACACCTAGTACACAATTAAAATTGCTTATTAACCAGGGTTTTTACCAAAAGTAAAAGTCGCTAAAAGTTAACATTGTAACATGTAATTAAGACTATTAAAAAAACAGTTTTACATATAGGCTGTGTATGGCAAGTAGAAAGTACTTTTGGTAAAAGATTATAAGAAAGCATGGGAATGTGGATTTTTTTGCCTAAAGGGTTACATAATTGTTTTAAATAAGAAAAAAATCTAAAGGCTTAAACAAGTTGTGGAAGGTTTATAAAAATTAATTGTAAGAGATTTTGTGTGTGAACATATTGGCTAAAGTTGAAAGGGTATTATTCAGTTTTTCCATAAACTAAACATTGGAATAGAAGCACAACAGGTTTTCCTTAGAGCACTGATCTGCTCTTTCACAAAAAAATGTAAATGGCTATAAAAAGTTTATGAGAATCTCACCTTATGGTTAAACATTAAAATTGGGTAAATATGTCTACAAGGTTTTATTAAAAATTGGGTTTGACATTAATAGTACATTAATGTAAAGGTGAAACTTGGCTTATTTGGTATAAAAATCATACAGGAAGCATTATCAAATGGGAAATGGTGTTTTACTTTCTTTGGACTATATTTGTGTAATTGTGTTATTGATATATGATCTAAAGTTATGGGAAACTCCTATAATTCTTATATGACTTTGTGTATGTTATTAATAATTATAATTGTTATGTAAAGTTTTGTGTACCACAGAAGTAACCAAATTTCCTTATCAATTGTGGCTTTAATAGTGGCTGTCCTAAAACTTTTTATTATCCATAGACAATTGTTGTTTTGTTTTATTCCTCTTTAGAAGGTGGTTTATAATCAACTGTAGAACTCTAGCAGGTATTCTTAATTGCAGGTTTTCTGATAACTTTGAAAATTGTAACAGAATAGAGGAAACAACTTTCAGAACTCTCATGAAGAGCTGGAATGTTCATGAATATCAAATAGAACAGGAGTTAACTGAATTAGCTGAACCAAAAGAAAACTGAAGTAATCTTTTTAACTTTTCTTAAAATGTTGCTGATCCTTTGTTCTGTTTTTCAGAGTCAAGGAAACTTTTCTTTTGAGCTATTTACAGCTTGTAGCAATTGAGTAAAGTATACTGCTGTGAACAAAATTTGGAACATATTTGTTTCTCTCTACCTGATTTCTCCAGGTTTTGGAAGCTAGTTGTGAGTATTCTTAACTTATAGCAATATAGTTATTTGCATAAGTGCAATAAGAATCTGTTTTCTTTTTTAACAGGACACAATTGGAGAAATTTGTTATTTTACCAAGGCTCTGACAGGAATCCTTTGTTTTCCTTTAAGGAATTAAACTTAACTTTTAGAGCCAATAAAAATCACTTGGGGAACTGGCCTCATACCTTGCCTACACAGTCCCTGTAAAGGGTTTCTGACCTGGGGTAAGTAAAGAATGTCACTTTCTATCAGGTCCGGAAGCCCCAGGCTATCTTGGGACCTCAAGAGCAAAGAAATTTACCCAACTCATAGGTATTTGAGGGTACAAAACCTTGGCTGGGCTCAGCTTTAAAAAAAAGTCTTATTTGAAATTCCTTCTATGGAACAGAATTCCATTAAAAGCCAATTTAAAAGGATCCTATGTGAAAAAATAATTATTCTTGCTGCACTTTATACAAATAATCAGGCCAAGTATAATAAAGCAAATCAGTCTTACCATAAATGGGAAACTGAAGAGAAAAATATTATGTTTCAAAAATGATGGTATACTTGTTATTACATTCTAGTTTCATCAGTTGTTTTTAAGTTTGTTTCTGCAATTTAGGCTAACTCTGCTTATTCCTGTGAACCAATCAGTGATCTCTGACTGTTGCTCAGAACAAACAAGAGGAATGGGTAATGTAAAAATCTGGATCAGTATTCTAATTCTGGGCACATTACAATCCACTATCAACCCCATATCAGCTTAGTTCCAACAGTTGCCCAGTTCATGAAAAACCTTTTAATTTAGTTTACTTGGAATAACTTTACTTATTTTGCTTTACTCTTATGGAATACATTGCTGTTATACTCTTTGTGTAGCAATACAGAACAACCTTACTGAATGTTTTCTTAAACTAAACACTTATTAATCTTCCAGATACCACCTCTTGTCAAAACTCAAGAGTCATGAATGGCCCTCACCATACTGATGCTTTCTGACTGAGCTCCTCTCTACGCTGAACACAAGAGACTCTAATAGTTAGGCAGGAATATCATTGTCCCTATTCAACCTGAAGAAGTTACAGAAGATGGCTCTTCATCCTTCTGTAACCCTTAGGATTAAGGGTTCTGTTATAAAAGGGAGGGGGTAAATGTCAGAGGCATGTGAACCAGAACAACTCCATCTTGAATAGGAGCTGGGTAAGATGAGGCTGAAACCTACTGGGCTGCATTCCCAGACAGTTAAGGCATTCTAAGTCACAGGATGAGACAGGAGGTTGGCACAAGATACAGGTCATAAAGCCCTTGATGATAAAACAGCTTGCAGTAAAGAAGCTGGCTAAATCTTATCAAAACCAAAAGGACCACTAGAGTGACCTCTGGTCATCCTCACTACTACACTCCCATCAGTATCATGACAGTTTACAAATGCCTTGGCAACATCAGGAAGTTACCCTAGATGGTCTAAAAACAGGAGACATGAATAATCCACTCCTTCTTTAGCATATCATCAACAAATAACCCTAAAAATGGGCAACCAGCAGCCCTTGGGGCTGCTCTGTCTGTGGAGTAGCCATTCTTTTATTCCTTTACTTTCTTTATAAACTTACTTTCACTTTGCACTGTGGACTCGCCCTGAATTCTTTCTTATGCAAGATCTAAGAACCCTCTCATGGGGTCTGGATTGGGACCCCTTTCCTGTAACATTCTCACTGGGTAACTGCTCCCAGCCACCACTCTCCTTCTGGCTAATTCCCCCTTCATCCTTCAAATATTCTGTTAAATGCCACCAGATAGGCTCACCTGACCTCTACAGACTCGGCTATGTCCCTCGTTATTGGTTCTTATTGTATTCTATATTTCTCTTTAAAACTTATCACAAGGAGTAACAGATGGATTCTGAGTGGCCAGTCGGGGCCAGAGAGCCAGAACATGCAGGTCTTAAAATGCCAATGCAGCTGATTGGCATCCAATCAATAAGCATACAATAGTTCAGCCTTCTCTTAACAGGAGAGCCAAAGCAAGCCACATAGGGGACAACTTCCAGTTAATGGTTGCTAGGAAAGGCCTTTGGGCAAACTCATTTCTGTCTTCTTGCTCCGTGGATACTCTCATACTCCAAGGATCTCATTACTGCCACAGACCCATTTTTGTACTTGTGTATTTTCAGCCAAGTTTTGCTGGAGTTAAAAAATATATATGTGTATATATATACTGCTTCCTTTAAGATAATTTTCTGGCATGGTTCTATTTCAAAGTCCTGGTTCTTCTTCTCTGCCTTTGTTCTGAGAACCTGTGTTCTTGTACCAGCTAGCTTGGTTCCTCTCCTCTGGCTTCCTTCCCCGATGACTCTGAGCACATTCCCTGGGCTTTGAGCTCTGTTGTCTGTCTAGTGGGGATCAGGCCTTCCACCAGCCATTCTCAGCTGGACTTTGAAAAGAAGGGGTCGGAACTTAGGTTTTGCCCTGCGGTTTTTGCCAGGCCTTAGTTTTTGCCCTGGAGTTTAGAGAGAGAATTCAAATTCCCTGGCAAAAGCAAGACAGAGACTCAATCTTTGAGAGGAATACAACTTTAGAACAAGTTTTATTTCTTTTTTTACTTTTACTGTTTATTTATTTACTTATTTTCCAGCCAGGGTCTTGCTCTCTCACCCAGGCTGGAGTGTAATGGTGTGATCATGGCTCACTGCAGCTTCTGGGCTTAAGAGATCCTTCTGCCTCATCCTCCCAAGTAGCTGGGACTACAGGGACACCACCATGCTGACCTTATTCCTCTTCTGTGAGACAGACAAGTTTTGAATTAAATGACCAGAGCTTCAGACCCTTTGGAGCAAAGGAGTCTTAACGATGAGTTCAGAGAATAGGCCAGGATCTCCTGATTCCTTTTTGCTTAAGTTTAGGATGAATCTTGAGAACAGAGTGGGTCTGGGTCTGGAGTTTCAGGTCAAGTATCTCCATAAGTAGTTAGGTCCAGGATATATGTTATTTGATGCCACCATCTTTGTACCTTGCCAAGTCTCTTCTCATCTCTTGATTTCTAAGTCATTCCTTGGGAATCACTGACAGTTTCAAAAGATCAAAAAGCTCAACCTTAAACCAGTGTGGTTTCTGGAAAAACATTTTGTGTTTGAAAGAAGTGATGGCAGCTAATGTTAGTGACTTCATTGCTACATTCTGGGACTGATCGTGTGCATGAAGTCCGCTTACCTCACCTTGTAAGCATTGCCACCCATCAGTGCCTGTGAGCCTCCACAGCTCATTATCACCTTGGGAGAAAGGATTGCAGGTCAAACTCTGGCACCAAATATCCACTATAGATAGGTCCTTAGTGACACGACTATTTGTGTTCACCTCTTCAGAATTCAATTTACATGCTAATTACCTTTTGAGTATCTAAGCACGTTTAACACATTTACCTGTAGACAGTAGTGACTCTCTTCTATCTCCTTGAACTTCAATTTTGTTAAGTTACCCTCTCATTGAGAAGCAGTCATATGCATTGGGTCTTTTTAGGCCAGAATTGAAGGCACTCTTATTTTAAAACTGCAGAAGCCTGCTCATTAATTTAGCTTCCAGAAATGGGGGGTAAGGGCAGGACTGCTCGCATTCCTTAGCACAAGAGAGAGCTTTTTGCCTGCTGAGTCAGTTTGCATGGCAATATGGAAATTTGTTGTCTAACATTCAAAGCTGAAGATCAAGTGACTTCTCTCTATCCAAATGTGGTTCCAAAGTCTTCAAATTGTTACTAAGGAAACTATTTTTCCCTCTGTAGTGTGTTTGTGTGCAAGTGTTCTGAAGCACAAAATGCCAAACTGTGTGCATTAACCGACGGCTGCTCCTCTGCAGATTTTTACTCTACAGTTCTAATTCAAATGTAATTGACCATGGCAAGGTTAAAGGCACTAAAACTCTTCCTTTATTGGAATTCACTCCGAAGCATTTCACCCAATGGTGAGATGTGCTGCACAGGAAAAGCTGACACAAACACCCTTTGAAAATTCATAAATCAGACAATTTCTTGGAAAAGAGTGAAAAGAGAATTCAGAAGACAGGGGCCTGAAAGTGAGGGCAAATAGCCCAGGTCAGTCAGCCCTTACTTTTCTTTGATTCCTACTGTATATTTTTGTGGCCATTTAATAAGACGGCCCAGCAGTGACAAGATGAGCTGCTTTTGTGAGGCCGATGTCTCCCAATTGCCTTGATGCCGCTTCTCCCTGAATGATTTGTGGATTCCACCCACTCTGGGCAGTCTACTAGGGACTTCAGTGTGGGAGTTAGAAGAAGGATAACATATTTTGGATTCTATGAAGCTGATTTCAGCATTTCTCCTAAATTGGATTCAATACATCTTTCTCAGAAGATGTAATTGAAATTGTAGTCCGGTTGAATAAGATACTATACGAGAACTTATCAAGATTCTGAAAGGCCAAATGGTGTCTAGGTAGGTGTTTTAGCAGCAGTGAGAAAGCCCTGATATTTAACATGGGGTCTCAGGGACACAATGTGGAACATGCAAGGAACTGCAGCAAAGCCACTCAAGAGGACCACAGGAGTTAGCCCCTCGCCCCAACTGATGCCTCTTCCAACATGCCACAGTGGTACCCCTCAGACTTCTATCACAACAATGTCTATCACAGCATACTATTAAATAACTAAGCTGTACTTATTTATTTACACAGGTGTCTTTCCTGCTAGAGAGTGAGTTTTTTGATACCATAATTGTGTTTCGTTAGTCTTCATCCTTCTAGATCTTAGCAGGTCTTAGTAGGTGCTCAATCAGTACTTGAGCTGAATAATAAATGCCCATTTATATGTTTTCTATTATTTATGGAAATGTGCTCTTATTTTGTTTTTAGCTTAGGTTTGCCTCCCTATCCCCTATTTGTCAAGCAGGTTAACAGCAAGAAAAAAACCTATTACAACTTGACATTAGGCCCCCTGGTCTCTGCACCAGTGCGCATCAGCACAGTCAAACTTCCAACCTGATCAGAATGATACGGTAATTTCTCCCAGTGAAAGGAAGCTAGGACATTAGATGCGGAAATCTAGCCCATCTCCTATTTCCAGAGGTATCTGGAAGGAGGAGAATATATCATTATTGCCTATCTTAGAAGGAAAGAAAGAACCACTGATCTGGACAGCTATGAAGAAAGAAGTGACTGTTATTTCTGGTAGACTCCCTAGGCAACATTCATACACAAAGTTTGAAAAAATTAGCCCTTGACTCTTTGTAAATATTGTTGAGCAGTCTCTTTCTCAGACAGTCTATGTGTTGGAATCCTCTTAATCTGGAGTACTTCACACTCTGACCATCTCCAGCCTAATGAAGTTAAACTGATAAGATCACAGTAAACTGGGTATGGGGAGGTGAGATCTTGGGAGTTGGGTGAGAGAGCAGGAAAGGTGGTGGTGTTTGGGGGTAGGAGACTGTATTAGGCTATCCTCATATTGCTATGAAGAAATACCTGAGACGAGTAATTTATAAAGGAAAGAGGTTTAATTGGCTCATGGTTCTGCAGGCTGTACAGGAAAGGTGGTGGCATCTGCTTCTGGGGAGGTCTCAAGAAGCTTCCAATCATAGCAGAAAGTAAAGTGGGAGCAGGCATATCACATGGCCAGAGAAGGAGCAAGAACCAGAGTGGGTAGGAGCTACCCACTTTTAAACAAACAGATCTCAGGAGATTTCACTCAGTATAGCAAGGACAGTACCAAGAAGGATGGTGCTAAACCATTCATGAGAAATTCATCCCCATGATCCACTCACCTCCTACAAAGCCCCAACTTCAAAATTGGGGATTACATTTCAACATGAGATTTGGGTGAACACATACATCCAAACTACATCAGATACCAGTGTAAAGTTACTCTGATCTTATCCTCTATTCCTTGCTGCTGAAAGGTAACTAGACATTTGACAGATTGTCTTTTGGCAAGTAGAGCTTTATGGATTGTCTAGCCTGAGACCCTCAGAAATGCTCAGCCTAATAGAGAACTTGAGAGGGAGAAGCAGTATAAAGGAAAAGGGAACCATTATTTCCTGAGCTCCTAGTCTGCCAAGAACTTTACATGCATTATTTCATTTAATCCTTGTAAAATCCTGGAAGCTAGATATTCTTGTCTCTATTTCACAAAAGAGAAAACTGTGACTCATAAATAATGTATCTAGGGTTTCGAAGTCAACAGTGGCTGAACTGACTGCATGGGGGTTAGGGGATTCTGTCTCATTACAACGCCTATGGGCAATCATTTTACTCAGAAAGGGAAAAGGGAAAATGAGAAAAGATAAGCAACGGACAAAGAAGAGAAAGAGAAGAGGAAATGTAGAGAAAAATAAAAGCTGTATATTCCAAGAAAGAAAAAAGAGAAAAAGCATCTAGTCTCACAAGTCCTTTCCTCTTAGTCTGTATTAGACGTAGATTTCAGGACAAATTACAATTGGCAGGGGTCTACTTGCCTTTTGAGTCTCTCTGTCTTATCTCAAGCTAGTTTTCTCCTATATTTAGTTCTTCATTTCCTTCAGGAGGCAATCTGAGTTTTGGTAAATTTCCGTACCAATATGGTCAACAAAGTAGGCATCATAGTTCAACAACCACATTGATTTTAAGGTCATTGTAATAAATACACTAGTAGCTGCATAAGTCAGTTCCTTGTAGGAGAATGATTAAATGTTGCAGTGTTCAACCATAGCACTTTTTATCTTGAGTCCATGCATGTGGCATAGAATGACCTCCAGTGGTTCTGGTTTCTTCATGGTCAGTGCACACTGTCTAGTTTCTCCAGCTGGAAATGGCAGTCAGGAGTCTGGATCCTGGTTCTCACTCCCTTCCTTGGTTGACCAAATTCACTTGGGAAGGACACTTGCGGGCTCATTGTTGTATTTACTGAAACACTATTCCATTATTGATTTTTGGCTTCTTTTTTTTTTTTTTCTTTTGAGACAGAGTTTGCTCTTGTTGCCCAGGCTGGAGTGCAATGGCACGATCTTGGCTCACCACAACCTCCACCTCCTGGGTTCAAGCAATTCTCCTGCATCAGTCTCCCGAGTAGCTGGGATTACAGGCATGTATCACCATGCCCAGCTAATTTTTGTATTTTTAATAGAGATAGGGTTTCCCCATGTTAGTAAGGTTGGTCTTGAACTCCTGACCTCAGGTGATCTGCCCGCCTCGGCCTCCCAAAGTGCTGGGATTACAGGCTTCAGCCACCGCGCCTAGCCTGCATTACTCTTTAATTTTAAATTCCTCATATCTGCCCAGCTTTTTATTGAGATTTTTTTCATTGCTTCTAAGACCAAAATAATCTCCTCCATGCATCAAGTTAGTAAATACTTACTTCGAGTTTATTAAATTATTTTATGTAATTTGTTTTACATTATATCCATAAGATTTATTTTGAGGTATTGTATGAGGTGAGATGTAGTTCATCACCAATTATTGAAGCACCAGGTATTAAACAATCAACCTTGTCCTTATTGATGACTGATGCTTCTTTTAGTCTGGGATTTTCTTTTATTCAGCTCAAAATTCTTGTCTTTTTCACACATTTTCTCTTCTCACCCTCCTTCCCTCCCTCCCTTGCCCCTCCCCCTCTGTCCCTTCCTCTCTTCCTATAAATCTTTGTCTCCCTATTATTATCAGCCTTGGCCTTTTCTTCTGATTTCTGGAATAATTTCTCAAACATTTCCTTCAACATTAATTCAATTTTTCTGCACCATCAATTTTATTCTTTTTTGACCCCAATGCCAATTTTAAATCTGATAATGCTTTCAATATTTTGTGTCAGCCTTTAAAATTTTTAGCTATGCTATTTTTTTCTCAAAATGGTGCCTTTTTCTCTCACCTGTTCTTCCTTATATGGCATTTTCTTGTTTCACGGCTCTTCTTTATCTTACCGAGAACACAAATCAGATATTTTTAAAAATGTGATCTATTTTCTTAGCAACTGTGAAAGATATGCTTTCCCTCTGCATCTTCTACATCTGTTGTGCTGCAGAATTTTCTGGTAGGCCACAATGTTACAGAGAGCAAGACAGCAAAATATTTGGCAGAGATCCAAATTTCCTCAGCTTTTTATTTGGAACTTTGTGCCTCTGGTGATTCTCAGAAAAAGATTTCAGGGGACACACCCTGTGTCTAATTTTTCACTGCCCCCCACTTGGGCCTCCCAGGTCTAGAAGCATTTCTCAGTAAGAGGTTATCCCAAGTCTCCAACCTTGTGGAAGCATAAGAGAGTCCAGTGTTTGTAAATGACCCCTCTGCCCTGGCTCTACCTCAAAATAGAAGCCAGATTCTTAACCTACTGTTTCTACACATTTAAAGTCCCATCTTTAAATCTTCTTTTGTGGGGACATTTTCAGCTCCTGAATAGGGAGTCACTTTTGATGACGACGTGTCACTGATGGATCAGGTATGTGAACAGCCCTAGGCAGCAACATATCCCTTTTGGATCCTTGTAGGACAACCCCCTCTGAGATACAGCTCAAGAGGGTATGTTACCCCCTCACCCATGTTCTTTTAGCAGGCACTTCTATTAGCCTGAACAATTGTATCCTATTGCTATCCCCTAATTCTCCCAGTAAGAGAATAAAGATATAGACCATGAAGAATATGTGGTGGTTTATAATTATCTTTTTCCTTTTTCTTTCTTTTTCTTTTCCTTTTTTTTTTTTTTTTTTTTTTTTTGAGGTAAGTCTCGCTCTGTTGCCTAGGCTGGAGTGCAGTGGTGTGATCTCGGCTCACTACAGCCTCTGCCTCCCGGGTTCAAGTGATTCTCCTGTCTCAGCCTCCTGAGTAGCTGGGACTACAGGCACGTGCCATCACACCCAGCTAATTTTTTGTATTTTTAGTAGAGATAGGGGTTTCACCATGTTGGCCAGGATGGTCTCAATCTCCTGACCTCCTGATCTGCCCACCTCGGCCTTCCAAAGTGCTGGGATTACAGACATGAGCCACCGTGCCTGGTCTCCGTTTTCTTTTTTAAAGTAATTGCACCACCTAAAAGACTCCTCCATTGCTGCCCCATCTTAGTCTAATATGCTTAACCTAGGAAGTCTATGATTCCTAAGATGTCCCTTTTCACCATCTCTAATTTTTAGAAAGTTTTGTAACGAAGGCTATTTCTGAGGGGATATAGAGAGCCAGAAAAGCAGGAGTGTTAGGGATTAGAAATGGAATGTAGGTATATGATTTTTGCTTGATGTAGTACTTGTTCCATCCATGCCCATCCATGTATCATTTCTAGTACAGAGTTTGTCTAACTTTAATGTGCATAAAATCATCACTGGTTACATGAAGACCCTAACTTAGCAAACCTAGCGGGGAGCATGACAGTCTGTGTTTCTAACAAGCTCCCAGATGATGCTGATGGTTTTGGTCCAGGGACCATAATTTGAGTTGGCTGTAAATACTGAATTTGGGAAAAATCTGGCAGGAATATGTTAAATTGTTTTAGCCTTAACACCTATTTTTCTTTCCTGCATATTTGAGTCTTCAGTGGCCCTCTGTCCCCTTCCCCTCGAGCTGGAGATCACTCTGCTTAGCACAAGTGTGTTCACCAAACACACATGGCCGATGGGTGCATCCACACAGACATACGTGACCACAGTCACCATTCCCATCACCAGCCTCACCGCCTTACCAACAAACCATGCAATGGTGCATTCCATCATGGCTTTCATACAACACTGATTCTGGTGGAGTTTAGATCAGCTTGGGTTCAATCAGGAGGTGGAAATTATACCTGTAATGTTTACAGAGAATACTTAACATACAGAATTGTAAATTAGGTATAAAGCCTTTAACTATACATCATTAAGGTAGCACACGTAGTAAGCAGTTCCTACCCTAGAGCTGGGGAACAAAGGGAAGAAATGGGAATTATTCAAATTTTAAATCTTTGGAGAAGGGACACTGCAGAGGTGAAACTCAGACTGCTGGTGCTGGTGTCTGAGCTCAAAAGAGGGGACCTTTGGGCCTGGGCCCAATCCTCTAAGCAGGTAGTGTCTGGTTGGTGCTGGTGTCTCTGAGAGAGATGGAATAGAGTTGGTTCTACAAGTGTTGGAAAAGCTGCAAACTGACTTCAGCAGCTGCTACAGGAAGGAACTTCCCCTACAGGAAGGAACTTCCCCTGGCAGGGTGGAGAAGCATTGCAGGGTTAAGGCTCACAGGAAGCAGATAAGGAGCGTGCCTCCCTGTCTCCTCTGTCTCTCCTCCATCCCTGTGTCTCCCTCTAGTGCCCCCTATTTGAAGATCCTACCAGGAAGCAGTTGTTAAAACAGAAATGTGATTTGCAGAAGTCCATTCTCAACATCACAAAGCTTAGTTTAGAAAGATGGGTTTGGAGCTGAGAGACAATAATCAGTATCCTAATAACCACTATACACATTTAGGGGGAATGGTATAAATAAATAGACTTTTGGAAAATTGGGTTAAGTAAACATCAAAAATCAAATTAAAATTATAAATTATCCAGTTTCTTAAATCCTGACACCCAATGGCTTTCTGACAATTGAACCAAGCTATTTTTAGTGCTTTAGAGAAAAAGTAGTTGCCATCCTAGAACATAGAAGCCCAATGGAGGGAAGGAGGATAAGACATAAATATCTTGGTATGTCCCATCAGAAATGGAGGGGAGAGAAGTTCTGGTTCCAGGAGGTGGAAATGAGACAAGGAGGCTAACTAAAGGAGGCAAGAGATTAGATACAAGAATCACTCTAGTTGCTAAAATGTAGGAGAAGGGGATGGAAGAGGGGCAAAGACCCGGTGTTAATCTGCTCTCACATTGCTCTAAAGAAATGCTTGAGACCAAGTAATTTATAAAGAAAAAAGGTTTAATTGACTCATGGTTCTACAGGCTGCACAGAAAGCATGGTGCTGGCATTTGCTTGGCTTCTAAGGAGGCCTCAGGAAACTTACAATCATGGCAAAAGGCAAAAGGGGAGCAAGCACTTCACATGGCTGGAGTAGGAGCAAGAGAGAGAGCAAAGGGGGAGGTGCTATACACTTTTAAACAACCAGATCTCACAAGAGCTCACTCACTATCCATGGTAAGGACAGTACCAAGGGGAATAGTGCTAAACCATTCATGACAAACCTGCCCCCACAGTCTGATCACCTTCCACCAGGCCACACCTCCAACACTGGGGATTATAATTCAACCTCAGATTTTGTAAGGACACAGATCCAAACCATATCAGAACCCAAGGAGGTTGAAAGAAAAGCTGTATTTGGAATTTTGGAAGGGGATCCCCTCACTATAGGCCCAAAACATGACATGGGAGCAGCCTAGGCATGTGTTTAGGAAGAGAGAGAACCAGTGGCAACATCCCTGCTACCTATCTACATTCACGTAGCTTGGAAGAAATTCAAAGTTCTGTGTGCTTCCAGGATGCAGGTGGAAGGAGGCTAAGAATTAACACCCATAGGTTTTCCCTGGGGTCAATACGAGGAGGAAAGGAGTTTTTATGGCAGTGGTCATCTAACAGAAGACTTGACCTAAATGCAAGGATTTTTGAAGGGCTAGCAAGAGCTACTGTAAGGATAAAAGTTAGTAACGGAGCTGCCGAGGAACTATGAGATAAAATAGGTCATGGATTTCACAGCCATGACCTTGAGCAGCTGATGCCATCCTGATGCCAGTGCCCAGGCAAGGTGATGGTGATCACACAGAGGTTTTGTGAAACTGGAGCATGGCACAGGACTCTCATGGGAAGCAGTGGTTCCTTCACACCTTCCTGAAGGAAATCTCTAGCAAAGGAGAAAAATCGACCCTGGTAAGGAGTTTAAACCTTGAATTTGACTAAATATTTATTAGTTCATCAAGCAACACTGAGCTGACCTGACAGTGACTTTTTAAATGGAAGAGAATTAGATAACTTCTGTTAATAAGATTTGTTGCTAACACCCAACACCCCCTTACACAACACACACACACACACACACACACACACTCACTCACATGTATTACCTAGGAGGATACAAGGTAATGGGAAATAAAATAAGAGATGGAAACTAAACTAATAATCTATAAAACTTCCTCTTTTCTTCACATCAGAGCACAGCCTGCCAATTTTGAAATGTTTATTACATAGGCAGATGCCTCCATCACCCACTTCTCCAAACATTTAAGATAATAATTAGTATGTGATTTTCCATGAGGAGGCAAAACACTTTTCCCCCATCAACTGTCTCTTTGGGAATTCTGGATTATATTTAGTATTAACACTTAACCATTTGCTAAGTTAGCAGCCACTGTCAGTAAAGTACCATGGTGGCTACCTTACCCAAATCGTTACTAACTCAGAAAGGGGAGGTGGTGCTACCCCCATATTATAGCTGAGGAAACTGAGTCTTAGAGGGGCTAATTCTTAGTCAAGGTCATACATCTAAGAAGTAATAAAACTGGTTTTAAAGTTCAGATCTATTTGGTATCACAGCCAGGGCCTTTTCTCTGGCTCAATATAAATCAATAGACAACCAAATGTAAAATAGAATAACCATAAATGACCAAAAAGACACACACTATAACTGCTCTGCAATTGGACAATAGCTTCTCTGTCTCTAAGATAAGTACAAGAAAACAATTTCAAAATAAAATGGCACAGAGGTCTAAGAGAAAGCACTTCCACTTCATTTCAGATCAGCTGCAGAATGATTATTTGCATTTCACTTTATCCCATTTTTCTTACACAATTGTCAAGTATTATCTCAAGATCTAAATTAATTAAAGTTGGCCAAAGGTTACAAAGACAGGAAAACATACTTTGTAAGAACATATTAAATGCTGTCACCCAACAGGGCTGCTCTTAATCACTGCAGAGTTTGCAGAGGGCACCACTGAAATAGCTTTTACTCTCTGTATCTTCCCTAGCAGTTTATATTCATATAATCTCTACCATAACACATTTTTCCAGCTCTTCCATTCTAAATCTGGCACCTATACAACCATCTAGCACTCTCCTTCCATTCCACAATGAAAGTTTAGGTAATTCAGCCTATATTCACAGCTTTTAATTTGTTTCCTTTTATTCACTCTTCATAACATCCTGATTCCTGAGCCCACACCCCATTAAATGGTTCAGACAAACTCCATACACGATTGACTAGTAATCAAATACAGTGTACTCTCTCCAGTTCTCATTCTATTTGGTTTATGTCCGTGACTCAATGCTGGAGTGAATCCCTTTGTTTTTTTATTTTATTTACTTACTATTTTTATTTATTTTATTTTATTTTGGGTTTAGGGAGTACATGTGCAGGTTTGTTTAATGGGTATATTGTCTGGGTGTGGTGACTCACAACTGTAATCCTACCACTTTTGGAGACCAAGGTGGATGGACTGCTTGAGCTTAGGAGTTTGAGGCCAGCCTGGGTAATATAGTAAGACTCCATCTCTACAAACAACAACAACAACAAAAATCTAACCAGGCGTGGTAGTGCACACTGGTAGTCCCAGCTACTCGGGAGATTCTGGTGGAAGGACTGCTTGAGCCCAGGGGTTCAAGGCTTCAGTAAGCCATGTTTGTGCAATTGCACTCCATTCTAGGTGACAGAGGGAGAGCTTGTCTCAAAAAAACCTAAAATTAGTATATTGTGTGGTGCTGTGATTTGGACTTATATTGATCCCATCACCCAAATAGTGAACATAGCACTCACTAGGTAGTTTTTCAGCCCTTACTCTCCTCTCTCCCTCCCTCTTTTGGAGACTCCAGTGTCTATTGTTTCCATCTTTACGTCCATGTGCACCCAACATTTAGCTCCCACTTGTAAGTCAGAACATGCAGCCAACATTGTTTTTAAAATGTCTTTTCTTGCTGTATTCCTGTGATGCCATTCTCTTCCTCTCACACCACTGACACACCTTTTTCTTGCTTATCAAATTTTCTTCCCTTCATTGCCTCTAATGTGATTTTCAGTGTCTGTCTCTATGCCCTTACCTGAAACTAGGCCTATGAATACCAATCTTTTCAACAATCCTTAGCCACTGAACTGATGAAATCCCTTTTTTTTTTGGAGACGGAGTCCCACTCTGTTGCCCAGGCTAGTGTGCAGTGGCGCAATCTCACTCAGTGGCTCACTGCAACCTCTGCCTCCTGGGTTCAAGCGATTTTCATGCCTCATCCTCCCAAGTAGCCGGGACTACAGGTGTGTGCCACCACACCCAGCTAATTTTTGCCAGCTAGGTTTTGTATTTTTAGTAGAGATGGGGTTTTGCCATGTTGGCCAGGCCAGTCTGGAATTCCTGACCTCAGGTGATCCACCCACCTCGCCCTCCCAAAGTGTTGCGATTACAGGTGTAAGCCACCATTATAATTACCTACTGAACACCTGAATTTGGATATCTTACAGGTGAGTTGACACCAACATAAAAGTTGGCTTCACTTTCCACCCTCTCAAATCTGAAGTTCGTGCTTTAACTAGTTTGTTTTAGCAGTCTCACGAGCCAGCTGAAGACCTCAAACCACACAGTCCGAGCGTTGCTCTCAGCTACTCTTTCTTGGTTATCCTCAACTCCTGCTGGTCCCCAAGTCTGGCAATTCTACCTCCACTGCCTCTTCCCTACTCCAGGTGAGAATCTCCTCTCAACTGCACTGCCACACCTGTTAGCAAACACACCTCTGCCTCTGCCTCTCGTCTTTCTCCCTTCAACTTTCCTTCAGTGTGCTGACAAGATTACTTTTCTAAAGCACATATACTCTTACAAAAGGCCATGATAGTAGGAATTTGATAGCTTCCTACTACCTCATTTTTTTGCTATAAATCCATATGGTATATTTTTAATATACTAGCTGCAAGCCACTTTTGCAAATTTGTCTTTCTCCTCATCCATACCCTACCTTCTCCACAATTTACCTTTCTCCTCATCCACACCATAACTTCTATTCCACAATTCTCCTTGTTGCCTGTAACACACTGCGCAATTTCAAAACTCCATGTGTTTGCTCATTTTACTTTCTTTCTTTATTATTCAACAAGACCCACTGCAAATGTCACATCCCTCCTGCTGCTCTCCAGGATCCTCAAACAAAATCAATTGCTCACTCTGCTCTTTATGAATGTGTATAATGTCAGCACATCACACAAGCACACACCGTAGTATATAATAATAGAAATGACTTTGTTTTTAACTCTCATTGTGTCTCAATATTGGTTAGGCTACATGAGACTGCTTCTCTCTTAAATAACAATAATATCTCTTGTTTCTTCACAAACATAGTCTCAATTCATAAATTAGAATGCCAAGTTCTAAAAATTTTAATAATCTCTAAAAATAACATTGGCTACTTGCAGTGGAAAAAGGATTCATGGTTTGTCTGTCTCTCTTTATTGATCATTCCATAGAAGCAAGAGAACTGACCATGACGGGAGTGTTCTTTTTGGAGCTGACAGTGCCACAAGATGCCTTTGAGGTCTCTGGTCCTTGCAAATGTCGATAGTGACTGTCTTGGATACTTTGCAGAAATATGGAAGCTCCTCTGCTGGGCATGCTACATGCAATTTCCTGCCCTCCTTCTACTATCTACTTGTTTCCAATGCCTTGTTTGTAGACGTCTACATTAACTCCTACTTTTGGAGTTTCACCACCTCTTTACATAGTGTTTTTGAGAAGACCACAAAATAGCTCCAGGTTGGCTCTGTCTCCTGCAGAGTATGCATCTGGTTCCCAGAAGATGCTCATTCCTCTTTGAACTGCCAACGCAGGGGAATTAAGCTGCTTCCCAGAAGCAGCAGCAACTTGCCAGCTTCCCTACTAGAAAAGCAGTTTGGCAGCCTCTCCTACCTGCCCTCCACATACTTTCACAGGACTCAATCCCCTTTTTAGCCTCTCTCTTATCTCAAGTTCTCTGTGAGGTTCCTGTGAAATCTGTGTCCCTAGCCTGGAAGTGAAGAGGGTAGTATCCTTACTTGTCTGTCTTCCTTGGTGGAACCAGGTAAGTCAGTTACCATCTCAGTTTTTGCAAACAAATTTCATCATGAAATCTTATTTTTGTTTCCATTCTCTCAAACTTTATAACCTAGATTTGTGTCAGAATTTACTATGTAAAGTTACCATGACTCAGGCAATCGGTTATCAGCCACTTATTTTCAAATCCTGCTTTCTGGTCTGATATACTTCACTTTATCAGCAACATCTTGAGTACTTTGGTGCCTGGGTTTAAACTTTAAGTTCAACATTCTGTTATATGAAAATCCACATATAACTATGTAAAATAGCTGGGAGTATGAATGTGCTTTTTCTAAATAATCTTAAATCTGGAATTAGCAAGAAATCCAAGGTCCACCAATGATTTATGGCATGAAGAATTTAGAGATGTCTGCTTCTGTGCCAGGCCAGTTTGAAAACTCTAGGAATGGCATTCAGTATTGAGGAGTAAGCTCCTAATAAACAAATGCATCCAAAAACAATAGCTAAGAATTCTGAGTTAGCTTAAAAACAAAACAAAAGGAAAAAGCAAAAACTTCTTTTGAGGGTTCTGGAGACTGAACAAAAGCACCCAGTATTTGGGGAGAAGTTAGAGTTTAAAGAAAGTATCTAGCAGATACTGAGTTCCTCCACCACTTTTCTTTTCTTTATGTACATATATTCACTAGTTTTCCTGTCCAGTGAGCAAAGCCTTGGAACTACTGAGGCTACCAGAGCATGAAGGAGAAACACTAGAAATAAGAGAGTAAAATAGAAGCAAAATTATGAAACTTCTAATTCTGTGCATAAACTTTATAAAAGTCTGTGACTGGCTTCTAAACCATGCGTATGAGAGCCAAACTGAAAGCTGCTTGAACTCAAGCTTAAAGAACTGAAGTGACATTTGGAGCACCATTCACTGCAGGTATGGTCAGTTGGATTTGAGTCTAACAAGTTAATTGCCTACTTTAAAAAATCAACAATCTTTGAGGCAATGTAAGAATCCATGCAACATAACATTTAAAATGTCCAGGATGCAATCCAAAGTTAGCATATGAAGAACAAGGAAAAAGATAAGCAACAGATGCCAACCTTGCAATGATGCAGATGCTAGAAATATAAGATAAGGATGTTAAAGAGCCTATTACAAATATGCTCGCCAAAATGAAGGATCATACACTGATAACACACTTAGAATAACTGAAAAGATAACAAATCTCTGCAAAAAAAATAGGTAATATAAAAAATAACATATTGGACATTCTAAATCTGTAAAATACAATACCTAGAATAATATTTTCAACAGATGGTTTTAATAACAGTGTAGCAATGGGAAGAAAGAAACAAGTAAACCCAAAAAAATAGATCAATATAAATCATACAATCTAAAGAAAAGTAGAAAAAAATAAAGAATAGTAAGTTAAAGAGAATGTGTGTGTCATGGGCACAGCTTCCAAAGGTCCAGAAAATTAGAGTCCCAGAAAAGAAGAATAGAGAAAGGGAGAGAAAAATGTTTAAAAAATAATATCCAAAAACCTCCCAAATTTGTTCAAAAACACAGATTCAAGCAGCTGAGCAAACACTGAACGTCGTACATTTAATGAGAACCACACTTAGGCACGTCGTATCGAATTGCAAAACCCAATAAAAAGATAAAAAGTTTGCAAGCAACCAAGGAATATCAACACATTACATTCAAACTTACATTCCTGACTCTCCCCAGGCAGAATTTAACTACACTCTCCCTTTCAGACTGCATGCAGGAAGCTTTATTTTTGTTGATAAAATAAATTGTGCTCAAGAGGAGTGGCCAAGTTCATCTAATTCCTTTTGGTCTCAGACATTTGACACGGCTGTCACCACTAGCCACTTGGTGTACCAATCCATGGTGATTCCTTTTTGCATTCTGTCAAAAACATAAAATTGTTAGCCTGTCAGTTGGAAGAGTTAGAAGGAAATGTGGTAAATTGTACATAAAATAGACATGGAAAATAAGGCTGAGTCCTGTCATATGAAGAGAGTACTGAGTGTTGATGCTACTGTGAATTTATTTATTATATGTTTAAATCTAAGACTATTTATTTCATTGTTTGCTAAAACAGCTTTTTGGCTGGTTTTGTTGTTGTTGTTGTTTGTTTGTTTGTTTGTTTTTTGAGGTGGAGTCTTGCTCTGTTGCCCAGGCTGGAGTGCAGTGGCACGATTATGGCTCACTGCAACCTCTTCCTCCCAGGTTCATGCCATTCTCCTGCCTCAGCCTCCAGAGTAGCTGGGACTACAGGCGCCTGCGACCACGCCCGGCTAATTTTTTGTATTTTTAGTAGAGACAGGGTCTCACTGTGTTAGCCAGGATGGTCTCGATCTCCTGACCTTGTGATCTGCCCATCTCGGCCTCCCAAAGTGCTGGGATTACAGGCATGAGCCACTGCACTCAGCCTTTTTGGCTGTTTTTAATTTTGTAGTAAGCTCTTTGGCAGTTGTGAACTAACAAATGTAAGGGCACATTTCATTTAAACAAGGGTATTGAAATTCCATCTCTTACAAAATTTGGTGATGGACCTGTAACTTACACCTATAACATTTACTTTTTACTGTGGGGTCATAGTACTTTTTCTCACTGCAGGTAAGAAGACAAAAATCCCTAGAGAAGCATTAAAATATATTAAAGTTAGTACTTTATCTTGATTGCACTGGCTAGGAATTCTAGCATAGAGTTGAATAGCAGCAAGGAGATAGGGCATTTTGCATTTTGGTCTTATTTTGTATCTTAAATGAAAAAAATCAATATTTCAAAAATGAATATGCTTTTTACTCTGATATTTTGGAGATACACATGGTAGTTTACTAATTTTTAGAAACATGAATGGGTAGAGAATATTAAATGCTTTCTCTACATATATCACAGTGATCATATGATTTTTCTTTTTTCTTTTTATGTATGTGTAAGTAATATTGATTGATCTTTAAATGTTAAATAAGCATTACAGATCCAGGTAAACCTTACCTGTTCATGACATATTATTTTCTTAATATCTCATTGAATTTGATTTGCTAATATTTTTCTTAAGATTTTTGCATTCAAATTACTTTATAAGTTCCTAGTATAATAAAACCAATCTATCCATTAATACATAGATATTTTTATCATATCTATATTATATAATTTTATCATTTAGGTACCTCTTTGTCTTTCAAAATTGTCTCATTATAAGTGATAAGTTAGATGGTGACCTTAACAGTTATCAAAGAGAAAAAAAAAAAACACAGCAAGGGACACACACTAAACAGTGAAACAAAAAGAGCACAACCCCAAGACTCTGAGCAGCAAGGCACAGGGAATGAGATGGAAATTGTTGAGCAGAATAAGAATAAAACATCAAAAAGAGTTTGATATTGTCAGTAAAATAGGAGGCACATCCTCCATGAAACCAGTGCAGAAAGCCTTAAGCAAATGAAAGACAGAGATGGAAATTCAATAGCATGAGATAAGGAATGAAGAGGGTGAAATTTACAGGCAGGTGTATGATCAAAGGACTTTCAAGGAATTCAAACAACAAAAAAAGAATTAAAATCCATCTTAAAGAATCAAAGAGAGCAGAGATGATGTGACTGAACATAGAATCAGTAGGGCTTTCAGTTCAAATGGCAATTTAAAACCACACATGGCCGAGCGCGGTGGCTCACGCCTGTAATCCCAGCACTTTGGGAGGCCGAGGCGGGTGGATCATGAGGTCAGGAGATCGAGACCATCCTGGCTAACAAGGTGAAACCCCGTCTCTACTAAAAATACAAAAAATTAGCCGGGCGCGGTGGCGGGCGCCTGTAGTCCCAGCTACTCGGGAGGCTGAGGCAGGAGAATGGCGTGAACCCGGGAAGCGGAGCTTGCAGTGAGCCGAGATTGCGCCACTGCAGTCCGCAGTCCGGCCTGGGCGACAGAGCGAGACTCCGTCTCAAAAAAAACCAAAACAAAACAAAACAAAAAAACCACACATTAAACTTGTCCCTTTAACAACGTCATCAAAATGAAGGGTGAAAAATGGGATTGAGAGAAACATGTATCACCACTTGAAACTAAGGAAGCATGGCACCCAAAGGCAAAACAAAAATTCAAAGACTATGAACTACACCCAGAACACTGGATAAAATAAAAGGCTGAGGACTCTTACAGAGCTGCCTATGCTTGGGAGTGGGCAGAAGGCCTCCAGCAAAATCCCAACATCAATGCCAAATCTCAAGGAGCAGAGCCTGAAGGCAACTTTTGGCCATGACATAACTGGTAAAATGCAAATGCAGCCCTACCAGTGCCAGTGGTAACCAGCACAGCAGATCTATTCCTAGGACGCTGCAGGAAATAGAGGTGGTACTGCTCAAATGAGTGTCTAATGAGGGAGGCTCTGTCTCTTTACAGGAAAGATCCCCTAATCCAGACACAGTTGTCCCTCGATATCTATGGGGAATTGGATCCATGACCCCTGCAGATACCAAAATCCATGATGCTTAAGTCCCTGACATAAAATGGTTTAGTATTTGCATATAACCTATACACATACTCCTGTATAGTTTAAGTCATCTCTAGATTACTTATAATACTTAATACAATGTAAATGGTATGTGAATAGTGGCTATACTGCATTGTTTAAGGAATAATGACAAGAAAAGAAGTCTTTACATCTTCAATGCAGATGCAACCATCCACTTTTTCCAAATATTTTTGGTCCGGGGTTGGTTGAATATAAGGATGTGGAATCCATGCATGGATACAGAGAACAGACTATATTCTTAAGCTATCACAAAAAAAGAAAATAAGAAGAAAAGAAAATGAAAAAAAACCTTCAGAAGAGAGGTAAAGCTCTCTAATTGTACAGGTGGACAGGTGCATATCTCTTGATCCGTCTTGTGTGCTCAGACCACTATACAACTCTTCACAAATGACAAGTTCAGCAAGTCTCAACCTGCTCCTCTCAGGCATCCAGCCCTAGAAATCAGAACAAAATTCTGCCTGTTCTTAAACCATGTCCATCTTCATACTCAATATTAGACTAACATACAGATCCTTCTTTCATGAGGGAGGGCAAACAGAAAAATAAAATATCACAGAATTATAAGAAACTGAGAAATAAGATCAAATGTTTCCTTCTAAAACAAATTTATTCTAAGAAAACAGAACACTTTGAGGAGATACTTCACTTCATGTATTTATCAAGATATGCATTTAAAGGTGTGAAAAGAAAAAAAATAATTAGATAATCTTGTTTTCAAATGAAAATTCACATGATCAAAAAGCATAAAGTCAAGGAAGGGAGAAGATATCAGGTTGGAAACTGTAGAAAACAAATAATGGATTCAAAATCTGATTTGTAAAAAGTCAAACAGCTTAGCAGAAAGGAAACAAAGATCAGTTTAAGGATAGAATCTATGAAGACAGTATTTCTGCATATTTATGCATAAAGGCACACACTTTCAAGAAAACAAAACTGCAGAACAGTTGAATAAGTAATCAATAAGGCAAAAAAAATTCATTGAGTTGAAGATTGAGGCTTCACTTCAAGAATCTTGATTAAAGAGATCTAACCAGGGCTGGTAATGGTGAACCTCGAATGTAAAAATTGAAAGGAAGGAAAAGGAACCTGAGTTCTCATTCAAAATGACTCACTGAGCATAAATATTTTCCTCTGGTTTTTCTCAAACTCTCATGAAAATCACAAAATTACTCTGAAATAGAAATAAAAACAAGAAGCAATGCTAAAATTTTAGGAAGAATGCCATCAAAAGCAAAGTAATATAGAATGTTTCCAAAAGATATTTAGCTAATGAAATGATATTCATTCCCCAAACCTCATATAGCTGAGGAACTGTGAAATGTATAAAAAACAAAAGAGAGAACCTCTAAAAAATTAAGCGTTTTCAAAAGAATACCTTAAAAACAAGAAAGATCATAGCAAAAGTGAAGAGCAGAGCATTAGTTTTTTCCCTATGTTATTAATTAGAGGATTATAGAATAGCTGCTGAAGCCCCCTGCTCTCAGGCTTGCTGTTTGTTACATTTTTTAACTGGATAAAGTCTGCAGAACTTCTTTCCTATAGGCTGTGGGAATTCTGCCAGAGTTCCAGTAACGGGGTGACTTTGGGCTCTGGCTGTGGAGAACAGGGCTACCAAGTTGTCCAGATAGGCTCCTAGGCACCTTCAAGGTGAAACCTACCTGCTTGCACCTTCCTACCCACTGGACATAGTGGCCTCAACATTCAATAAAAAAATTGTCACGTGTGCCAAGAAAATTCCCATGGACAATGATCACAGCTGAATGTATAAGCTCCTCAATACATGCAAATGAGCAAGTAAAAAAAAATCGTCAAACATCAAACATTAGCTATTAAAAATAACTAATATCATGAAAGGGAGAAATCAAAGAAAATCAGAATTAACAGGAGAACTAAGACCAGGGGAATCAGAGTTAGTATTGACCACAAAAAGATTTTAAATATTTTGTGTTCATATTTTCATGTAGATTAAAGGATGTTCTGAAAAATAGAAAATAAAAACATGAAAACTAAGATTAAAAGTTACAACAATATAGCCGGGTGCAGTGGCTCATGCCTGTAATCCTAGCACTTTGGGAGGCCAAGGCGGGTGGATCACGAGGTCAGGAGATCGAGACCATCCTGGTTAACATGGTGAAACCTCGTCTCTACTAAAAATACAAAAAATTAGCCGGGCGTGGTCGCAGGCGCCTGTAGTCCCAGCTACTCTGGAGGCTGAGGCAGGAGAATGGTGTGAACCCGGGAGGTGGAGCTTGCACTGAGCCCGAGATCATGCCACTGCACTCCAGCCTGGGTGACGGATTGAGACTCCGTCTCAAAAAAAAAAGTTACAACAATACAAAGTTAGATAACAGAATTGTCTTGCATAAATGTTATTTAGTGATGTGGAAAATAAAACTAAAATACGTATTTCAATGTACAGTTTAAACAGTCAAAGCAATAAGAATTAAAAGACACAAAGCAGAAGACATGGAGGTTAGATCCACCATAGACAACATCCTTGTAAGATTTAGAATGACAACTAACTTCTCGCCTAAAGCGCTGGATTCTAGAACATAACAAGGAAGAATGATGGATTTTGAACTGAAAAATCCTATCCATATCCAAACTTTAGTCCAAATACAAGGAAAAATAAATTTTTTAGACATCAATGTAAAGAAGATATATTGACTACATTTCTTTTTTTACAAAAATGTTTTCATTAACATACCCCCTGCAAATTGAGAAATAAATCTTAGTACGTGGAGAATATGTATGACAGAACTAATTTACTCTAAACAGTCACAACTATGGAATGTAATCCGCCTGTTAAGTAAGTATTCTATCCACAAAAAATTAGAGTTCAGAAGGAAGAGAAGTATTGAGATCATACCAGGATTTTTGTTCTTGGGCACCTGAGCATGGGATATGGTTAGCAATACAGTTTTGACATTGATCAGAAGCTCTAAGCATAAATGCATTTGCTTAAAGGTTAATGTAACAACTAGTAGAACAGATATATGGAGTAGAAAGTCACAACAAATTTCAAAGAAGAATGAGAAATGTAGTGTAGCTCTGCACCCAGGTAAACTAATAAAGGTGCAATAATGAATGCATAGCATTTTATCTGATCCATCTTACCCTTCTCCTCATGAAATATTCACTTTATCCTTCCTCCTGTTTAAGCAGATAACCCAAATGCTTATTCAATCATTGAATCTAGTTCAAAGTCCAGGATTTCCAGAGGATTCTTCTTCCTCTGCATCAGGTTTGCTTGTAACTCCCAATGGGCCAGTGACTTATGACTAAAAACAGTATGTTATCTGCTCTGTCTCATACACAATGGTGGAGAAAGCTGAGAAAATCCATAACAAACATGTCTATTGTGAAAAGACAAGTCACTTGACCACAGGACTGTGAAACTTAGCTGGACAGGCTTTGCGAAGACCACCTCCTTGGCTGTAAGGAAAGTTCTTTGGAAAAATTTTCATTTTTCTCTCTGGCCTTTCTGAAGTGGGTAAGGGTACACATATCCTAACAAATTTTAGGAGTTAGTTATATAATAACCACACTCTTATATTAGTACTTCAAGAGTAGGACAGAAATACAAATTACTACCAACAAAATAAAATAGCAGAAGAAAGTCAGAGAATCTCACATATATGTGGGAATTTGGCTTGTATAAAAGTAAACATTTAACAAATGTTGTGATTATACAAAAGAGTAATCATAATAAATAACCCATATAATACCATATTTTCAAAATATTGTATGTGAATTAAATACCTGCACATGAAAAAAAATCAAAATTTCAATAGAAAACATAGGCCAATAGATCGTAAAGATTATAACAGAGAGAGTTAAGAAATCCTTGAACAAGATACAAACCGTGCAGAATTAAGGCAAAAGATGGACAGAATTGACTATATTACCCATACTGTATGACAAAAATAGCCATAAAGTTGAAAAATAAGCTGTGCTTATATTTTTGGCAACTTATATATGCAACACTAGATTGGTGTCTAAAACAAAAGATCCTAAAAGTTGGTGAAAAAAAAGACAAGGCACAACATGGAAAAATCCCAAAAATGGAGTTATAGAATGACAAATAAATATGTTAATGCTATTTCTACAAGTAGACAAGAAAACATTTTTAAATAGAGACTAGGTGTCAAGTTTTCAGGGCATCTGAATGGCAGTCTAAAAAAACATAGGATATAGGAAGTGTTGGTGAGGATTCAGAATAATGGGTACTCTCACAGGCGATTGGAAGACAAGTCAATTGGTGGCAGCTTTTAGGAAGAATTTGCCCATTATTATTAACTACACAAGTATATTAAAATTTGTATGCCAGAATGTTTACTGTTTCATTGATTATAATATCCAAAATTAGAAAGTAATCTAAATGTTGTCAGTAGAAATGTGATATACCTAATTATTTTATACCCAGAAAATACACTTTTATAATAAAATTATATAAAATATATATGGGCTTATATCCACCGCTAGAAAGACCTTAAGTCACACTCTTAAATGAGAAAAAAAAGTATATTGCAGAAAAATTCATATGAAATAATTTCATCAATATAAGTTCACCTCCGCTTAAAAATTTGTTGTGTACATATCTATATATGAATGTATAGCTGAAAGGACATGCCTGATCTGGTGATAAGCAGTTAAAATCTGATAAGGGGGACACGGTGTATGAAAAAAGACCATTTTGTATGTTCCTCTAGAAGTATTCGCATAAGCCTGGATGACCACCGTCTTCGTAATTAACTCAACAGGATTATAAAAAGATATAAATCATCTGGGGTGAAGTTATTTTCCTGATAATCTTGGGAAACACATTTCTCCCCCATACAGTTGCAGATATTACAGGGGTTCTAATCCACTCCTCCCCTTATTTATTCTTGCTCTGGAGAATGTCTAATCTGATCTGTGATATTGGTGAGAACTTAGCATCTATTGAAACTTGTTATAAGAAGCCTGGAATCTGGCCACAAGGAAAACCTGGCTGTTATGTAAGGTGTGCTCTTTTTTTTCTCAGAGTCCCCAGACATTTTGTAATTTAGTCATTATCAGACACCTTAAAAAATACTCATCCTCATTTGGCACCTTTTGTCTATTGTCTTCTAGAAGTAGAACCAGGAAAGCAGCATTTAATTTTAAAAAAAATAAGAAAAAAGTAAAATAAGCTCAAATAAGATAGAAGAAAAACACATAATAATTATAACATCAGAAATTAATGACAAAAAAATTTATGAATAAGGCTTAAAGTTTTTATTTTTAAAGCCCAGTAAAATACATAAAAATTTGGCAAGTCAGTCAGATAAACACAGACACACAAACAGGCACATACTAAACACATAAATCAAATAAATAATATTAGAAAAATAATCTTAAAAACTTTTATATGTAAATACACTTGTAAATCATGATTAGATAAACAAATATAAAAAATTAAATAGTGATCTTGTCTTTGGAAACAATACTGTCAGTCTAAAATAGGAAACTGAGGCAAAATTAACATAGAGAGTTCATTTGGGCCAAGGGTGAGGACAGCTTCCTAGGTCATACTTCCAAGTTGCATTGGGGAGTGCTCCTTTCAGCCTTTGATACAACCTTTTTTTTTCTTTTTTTTTTTTTTTTGAGATGGAGTCTTGCTCTGTCGCTACATTGGAGTGCAGTGGCGTAATCTCGGCTTGCTACAACCTCTGCCTCCTGGGTTCAAGTGATTCTCCTGCCTCAGCCTCCCGAGTAGCTGGGACTACAGTCGGGCACCACCACAACCAGTTAATTTTTGTATTTTTAGTAGAGGCGGGTTCCATGTTGCCCGGGATGGTCTCAATCTCTTGACCTTGTGATCCACCCATCTTGGCCTCCTAAAGTGCTGGGATTACAGGCATGAGCCACCGTGCCCTGCCAAGCATATTTTTAAAGGTAAAAGGGGGATAAAGAGTGGGCTGATACAAAGTTGTTTGACAGGAATTTTCACTGGTTTATAGAATTCACATTGTTGAGTATTTGGCTATACACTGTTGAACTAAAGGCTATGAGTTATTGTGACCAACTGATGGCATTTTATGGTGATTTGGCATCAGTTAGTCTAGAGCCCACCTAGAAATGGTTTCAAGTTGTAATTATCTAGCACAAGTGAGGAGTGAAATGTGACTGCTGTTGCATTTCAATTCCTCTGTGGACTTGATAATTAAAGGGGATTCACATTCCTCAGATAAAAAGTTTCTTTTCAGAGGCAGATCTTGCAGTGAGCCGAGTCGCGCCATTGCACTCCAGCCTGGGCGACACGTCGAGCAAGACTTTGTCACAAAAATAAAAAATAAAAATAAATTTTTTAAAAAAGTTCCTTTTCTTTCTCATTCTTCCCTTTTGATCAAAAAAATTTTTTAATAGCATTAACAATCAGAGTGTGAGTGTCAATAGGTCCTTTGTCACCAAAGAGGCTTTTTCTTCAATAGTCCTGTACCACGTCAGAGGGAAGGAGCTCTGTGACAAATTTTAAGAGCACCCAAAAGCTGAATTGGCATGGCATCACTGAGTGGCGAAAAAATGAGTCTTTAGTCAAGTCACTGATTTATGTAGCTGGTGTTGCTTGTTGAATCCTCACTAATCTTTGGAATACCATGATTTTCTTGGAATAAGTAAAACAATGAGAGATACATAGCATAAAAAATTTGAAAGTAGAAACATAATGTACACAAGGATTATAATTAAAGAAAGAATTTGTGTTCCAGAACAACAGCAACAAAAATTAACAATAACAAAAAACAATTCCAACTAAAAATGTCATGAAAAAAATAAATCTGAGTTCTTCTTTACAGACTTGTACCCAGGAAATAATTCAGGATTCAGTTTAAATTGTAAATGAATAATAAAAACTCAAAAAAAATAGTCAGAACTAGAGTCTAGTAAGAGGTGTCTTATTGAAACATAATTTTTTCTCTCTCCATTCTCTCTAATTTTACTAAATACAGATAATAGTAGAAGCAATTGGTTTGTAAAATAAGTTTTAGTCTTTATTACACTTGGCCTGATTACTTACAGAAAGTTTAGCAAGAAAAGTTATTGACCACATAGGCTCCTTTTAGTTGGCTTAGCTGGAACTTTTTTGTTTTTTTTTTTTTTTGAGACAGAGTCTCATTCTGTTGCCCAGGCTGGAGTGCAATGGCATGCTCTCGGCTCACTGCAACCTGTGCCTCCCAGGTTCAAGCGATTCTACTGCCTCAGCCTCCTGAGTAGCTGGGATTATAGGCATGCGCAACCACGCCCGGCTAATTTGGGTATTTTCAGTAGAGACGGGGTTTCACCATGTTGGTCAGGCTGGTTTCGAACTCCTGACCTCGTGATCCGCCAGCCTCGGCCTCCCAAAGTGCTGGGATTACAGGCGTGAGCAACTGCACCTGGCCTTAGTTGGAACTTGTTCATCAGGAATTTCAGATCATAACTTTAAAAGTCTCTTGCAGCTAGGAAACCAAGCCAGGGATTCATCATCAGACTGGATCTATAGTACTTGTGCAAATTAGGTGAATTTCCCTCTTCTAAAGGTCTCAAAATATCTTGAGTTTCCTGGGCCTGTCAGAGACTAATATTGTTTTCTTATTGCAATGCAAGGTCAGGATTCTTGTAAGGGAACCACGTAGATAAAGTATCAGACCAGCCTTTTTCCAACTCTATTGGCTTTATAAAGTCAACTTCGATCCCTCAAAGCAGCTTGATTATATCTGAAAATTAGCCATTCTATTCAAAATCTTGATAAAAGAAAGTTTTCTATGTCTCAGGTTACAAAAAAATTTTTAAAAAGACTATTCTCATTGAACTTACGCAAATAACTATATTGCCAGAAAATGGCAATACTAATAAATACTTTCTGTATTCTAGAGAATTCGGGTAGAGAGAAAAAAAAGTGTTTTAATTTCGCTCACAAACATATACTTTACTCAATTGCTGTAAGCTATCAATAGCTCAAAAAAAGTTTTCTTTACTCTGGAAAACGAAATATTAAATATTAAAATAATCAGCAATGTTTCAAACAAGAAGTCATAAGATACTATTTCAGTTTATCAGTTCAGTCTCATGTAATTAATTATTGTTCTGCTTGACTATGGGTTAGCAATCTTCATGAACACATCAATTTTTTATGAGAGTGCTGGAAGTAGGTTGGTGCAAAAGTAATTGCGGTTTTGGACCATGAATTTTAAGTCATTAAAACTAGGCTTAAACACATCTTTACTAATCAAAATAGGAACCATTACAATCAACACATTTTTGCCAACGAGAAATATGTGTTTATTCGTGTAGCATAAAAATTCATGCTTCAGGATTTGAATTCTTGGAAAGCATTTTCTGCATCCTACTGGTTGTGGAGGCATTTTCCCTGCAAAAAGTTTTTGAGATGCCTGAAGAAGTGGTGGTTGGTTGGCCAGAGGTCAGGCGAATATGGTGGATGAGGCAAAACTTTGTAGCCCAACTCATTGAACTTTTGGAGCATTGGTTGTGCGACGTGTGGTCAGGTGTTATTGGAGAAGAATTGGGCCCTGTCTGTTGACCAATGCCAGCTACAGGCATTGCAGTTTTCTGTGCATCTCATCGATTTGCTGAGCATACTTCTCAGATACAATGGTTTCACCAGGATTCAGAAAGCTGTAGTGGATCAGACCAGCAGCAGACCACCAAACAGTGACCATGACCTTTTTTTGATGCAAGTTTGACCCTGGGAAGTGCTTTGGAGCTTCTTCTCAGTCCAGCCACTGAGCTGGTCATTGCTGTTTGTCACATAAAATCCACTTTTCATTGCCCTTTACAATCCAATTGATAAATGGCTCATTGTTCTTGCATAGAATAAGAGAAAACAACCCTTCAATGATTTTTTAAATTTTTGCTCAGCTCATGACGCACCCACTTATCGAGCTTTTTCACCTTTCCAATTTGCTTTAAACGCTGAATGACCATAAAATAGTCAACGTTGGGTTCTTCAGCAAATTCTTGTGTAGTTCTAAAAGGATCAGCTTTGGTAACTGTTCTCAGTTGGTTATTGTTCGCTTCTGACGGCAGGCCACTATGCTCCTCATCTTCAAGGCTCTCATCTTTTTTGCAAAACTTCTTGAACCACCACTGCACTGTATGTTCGTTAGAAGCTCCTGGGCCAAATGCGTTGAAGTTGCAAGTTGTCTCCGCTGCTTTACGACCCCTTTTGAACTTAAACAAGAAAATTGCTTGAATTTGCTTTTTGTCTAATGTCATTCCCACAGTCTAAAATAAAATAAAATAAACAGCAAGAAATAAGTCATTAGCAAAAACACATAAAGCAAGAAATGCCCATTAAAATGATGTATAACATAACCACATTTATTTAAGAATGTATTTCAATATCAAACAGCCAATTCCAACAATGCAAAAACCGCAATTACTTTCACACTCACCTAATAGTTCAATCATATGATTTCCAAAGTTATCAGAAACCTGTATTCCAGAATACTTGACAGGGTCCTTTCATAAATTTCCTTGAAGACACAACACTTTAGGATTTGCAAGAAGCTTTTAGTAAAGGGCCACAGAATAAAGCAATTTACTGCATATATCAAGACATATTAAATTTGTTGGAATTCCATGCACTTTTGGAGCATATATTAATAACATATCTATGCAACTATAACTCAAAGGAAGTTAAACATCCTTTATTATTTGACAATGCTTTCCATAAGATTTTAATGTAGCAAATAAGACTAATATGTCTCCCTTAGACTTCCAGGGCCCTATTTGGACCTCCAGGGGCCCTAATAGCCAAAAGTTAGTTTGAAGTGAAAAAGACTTAATTTAAAAGCTGGAATGTGATTTTGGGAAGTTTGTCAAGTATTAAAGATTTAAAATACTTGATCAAAATTGGATCATAGGTCAATGTAAAGTAAGTCATTCATTTTAGCTTAAGCTATTATTTAAAGATTCAATAAAGCAAAAACCCTTACGATTTGAGAGGAGACTCAGTTTTCCAAACAATCCAAAAAAACTGAATAAAGACAGCATGAAAGAAAAACAGAATCTTTCACTTTCTCTCCCCTTTCTGTTTTTGTAGTTTACTCGAAAGGCAAATAAAATGTTTTACCATTTCTTATTAATACTATCCTAAAATCTTGTCCAAAGGAAAAAAAAAGAAAATTTTCCCATGGATCAGTGTGTTATTAATATAAAACTTAATTTTCATAAAATCTTTAAACAGATTTATCCAGTTTCAATCAGCTTTACCATGTAAGATAAGAATTTTATTTTTTTTAATGCAGTCTTACTCTGTCACCCAGGCTTGAGTGTAATGGTGCAGTCTTGGCTTAATGCAACCTCTGCCTCCTGGGTTCAAGCTATTCTCCTGACTCAGCCTCCCAAGTAGCTGGGACTACTGGGGCACACCACTATGCCCAGCTAATTTTTGTATTTTTAGTAGAGATGGAGTTTCATTATATTGGTCAGGCTGGTCTCAAACTCCTGACCTCGTGATCTGCCCACCTCGGCCTCCCAAAGTGCTGGGATTACAGGTGTAAGCCACCGCGCCTGGCCGCAAGATAAGATTTCTGCAAACATTTTATATAACCTCTTACAATTTTTCTAATTTTTCTCAACTTTCTATATCTACTTAGTTTTATCTGTCATTCTTTTTTATTTCTTTATTTATTTATTGAGGCAGAGTCTTTATTGCCCAGGCTAGAGGGCAGTGGCATGATCTCAGCTCCCTGCAACCTCTGCCTCACAGTTCAAGCTATCCTCCTGCCTCAGCCTCCTGAGTAGCTGTGATTACAGGCACCTGCCACCATGCCCGACTAATTTTTGTATTTTTAGTAGGGGCAGGGTTTTGCCATGCTGGCCAGACTGGTCTTGAACTCCTGACCTCAAGTGATCCACCCACTTTGGCCTCCGAAAGTGCTGGGATTACAGGGGTGAGCCACGGCACCCAGCCCTTTTTTAAAAATTTAAAGCAGCCTTAAATAACTTTTAAGTTAGGCAAATTTACTTTTCCTTTAACCAAAATCGCATTTTTATGTCTTTTGAATATCCTTCTTTACTGGAAACATTTCCTACTTTACTTATATACTTTGTATACAGAAGTGTTCCTGTTCTATTTAGTGGTTTTCATTACATATATTTATTAAAATGTTAACCCTTAGTAATCCTAATTTTCAGTGCAAATTCTAGAAAGTAAGCAATTTAAATGCTATACACCAGATGTAGGACCCAAGATAGAAGACAGCCCTATGAAGACAATGCATGGAGAATATGAATCTACCTAGCATGTCCCAGAGGCACAGCTGGGCCAGGGAGGACGTACTGGGCTTGGCTTTCCTGCAGATGATGGTCTAGGCCACCAGGCCTCACTGTGGCTGCTTACACAGAACCTGAAAATCTGCATCAAAATCAAAGATATAAACTCATAGACAAATCAAACAAGTATCCAAAATATCATGGAAGAAACAGTTTTATGACCTTAAAACAGCTAGAAGAGGCAGCCTAAACTTGTCTAACCAGGAGACCCAAGGCAAAATGTCTGAATTATATTTAACACAATTCTGAATACATTCTAGTTTTATTTTACCAATAATTTTAGAGCTAGCTTTATTTACTGAAGATTACTAATATGTCCTGTAAACTTGGAAAGCATTTGGACTTATTTACTTAATTTATGAGCACTCGTTTATTTATAAGTCAATTTGGTACCATGTATACAGTATACAAACACAGACATGTATATGTACATGGATAAAATGCAGACAAATGATTTTATAACTTCAGTTTTACATTTGAGCCATGAAAGAAGGAACACTCATTAATTTAAAATGACAGTTGGATTCAAACTGCATAGTTGGAAATGAAACAAGTTAAACTTTACCTGTCTGACATGGCTGAAGTCTTTACTAAGTTTTAGAGAATAAGGTAGTAAATTTACTTTCAAATCACAGATAAAGAATTTAAGCTTTCTAATAGGCCATTTAAGTTTTAAATTATCCTTGGAAATAATCATGTCAGCAAAAGAGAAGCAGTCCGAGGGGGTGCATAGAGTTAGCAAGGGTTTAAAAGAAAGGAATTTAGTCAACTGAGAAGCTTTTATAGAGAGAACAGAAGCCTAAAAATATATATGTATATACTTATATATTATAAATATCAGCTTTTCATTGAGGCAGCTTTTGACTATAGAGCTCTCAAAAATATATTTTCAAATATCTTGTCAGAGTTCAGCCATGACAAACAACAAATATTCCTGCTTTATTCCTCTTTTAAACCAAAAGTATCTTTCCAAGGGACTCACCAAAACCAATAACCAACATTATGACTTAACCAGAGACTTAACAGGTTATCTCCAAAATTGTGCAACACTGTCCTCACCAAATCCAGAACCACCCCAAAGACAGCTTAATGAAAGAAAAGTTTCACTAGCTACAAGTGGATTACAACCCACATCTGTCCAGTCAGATTCTCTAGGATCTCAGCTTCTCAGCTGACTGTCTACATACAAAGTCCAGATGGAAGATTTAAAGCAATATTGTCCAACTCATGGCCCACAGGGCACATGCTGTCCAGGATGGCTTTGAATGTGGCCCAATACAAATTCGTAAACTTTCTTAAAGCATTATGTGATTTTTCTGTGACTTTTTTTTTTATATATAGCTCAGCAGCTATTGTCAGTGTTAATGTATTTTATGTGTGGCCCAAGAAAATTCTTCTTCTAATGTGGCCCAAGGAAACCAAAAGACAGGACACCCCTAAATTAAAGAGACAGTCAGTAAAACAGGAAAACAAAAGCTGCTATGGGAGCAGTGCCAAAAGGTGAGAAAATGTAGGAGGGTAAATTTATGGGAAGCATAAAGTCTATTCCTAGATTCTTTGGCACTGCTGTCTCCCAGCTGATAAGCAAGTGTTGTAAAGGGGCCTATCTTTAGATGGGAAAAGGCGGGCAAGAAGCTCTTTGTCTTTGTAAATCGCTGTCCTGCTGTCAGTCAAGCAGGGGAAGGGGCAGAGTGTCTGCTGCACTTTAACCTTCTTTGCCTCAACAATCGCCAGTACTTTAAAAAGAAATATTTTGGTTTTCTTCAGTAGAAAAGATTAAAAATAGGGACCTCAAAAGATCAAGAGTCATACAAAAAATATGAAAACAAAAATTCAAATTAATTTCTTTCTTTATTTTCTGAGACAGGGTCCCATTCTGTCATCCAGGCTGGAGTACAGTGGCATAGTCCTGGCTCACTGCAGCCTTGACATCCTGGCCTCAAGCGGTCCTCCCACCTCAGCCTCACAAGTAGCTGGAACTACAGATGAACACCTCCACACCTGGCTGACATTTTACTTTTTGTAGAGATGGGAGGTCTCACGATGTTTCCCAAGCTGGTCTTGAATCCCTCTTGAGAGATTGTCCCGCCTCAGCCTCCTAAAGTGCTGGGATTACAGGTGTAAGCCACCATGCCCAGTGCCAAATTAATTTCTTATACACATTTATATACTAAGAAAAAAATTTTGTGATGGGTCTAATGTACTTTAACTGTTTTAAATCTGATCTTAGATGGAATGTTGCTTAGCTAATTTTCTGGATGTTAACATTTCAAAGACATGGTAAATTCTACATCTACAAGGCACTGAGAAAGTCTTGCAGGCAGTTTGGGCATTTAAGGGGCTTTTCTGGGGAAATAAAGGAGAGCTCTCTTAAAAGGATAGGTAAAAAGGGAGGAATAAATTTGGTAACAAATAAACAATTGGATTGGTAGAAAGCTCATGTTTAGGCTGGAGAATACAGTTCATAAAATGAATGGATCAGTTTACATAAAAGGCAATTCTCATTGTCTTTCCACAAAAGGGAAAAGCTAAGCAGGCCTTTCCACAAAAGGGAAAAGAATCAAAGCTACCAGTCATGGAAAAAGACAAAAGATTGCAAAACAATACGCTGAGGTCTAGTGCTTATAATCACCCATGTTGTAAATTGGAATGTAAGTTTGCTCATATAAAAGACAATAGTTAGGTCTAATGCAGGCTAAGAAACACACCGTGCTCTATCTAATAGCATGGCATCTCAACGGGCCACTTAAATTTGAATGGTGTTTTGATGTCTGCACAGTGCCTTCAGTTGTGTTATCTCATTTAATCCTCTCAAAACTATATTAATCAGATAATACCATCTTCTTTATCTAAAAGAAATAGAGGCTCCGAGAGATTTATGCAACTTCCAAAGCATCAGACAGTGAGTTGAGGGTCCAAAATTCAAAGTCAGATCTTTCTCTGACATAAAAATGGAGATATTTCTACTCCTTCACAGTCGTCTCTCCCTGTTTATTCAACTGAGTCTAAAATATTCTATAAACAAGATTAAAAGGCAAATCATTTCTTGGGGTAAATGATTTGCAACATATATAGTATATAACGCATTTGTGTTTGCATTCTTGTAATGTATTTCTTTGTACAAGATAAAAGGCAAACAAAATGGAAAAATAAGTAAATGAGAAAAACAATTCAAAGACAAAAGTGTAAACATTCAGAAATGTACTAAAACATGTTCTGACCAGATTCTCTAGGGTCTCAGCTTCTCAACTGTCTACATACACTCTCTCACACTAATGATTGAGAAGATGCAAATTGATAGTGTAATGCTACATCATTTCTAGCCTATCAATTTGTTAAAGACCTGGATGTTTAGTAATAGTCAATGTTGACATTTACATAATATTTGAATTTTATGTAACATAGCATTTTGGTAATCAGATAAAAGAAAGATGATAGTTTATTTTCAATCAATTAGAGAGCAGCCTATGGGGTATTTTCTACTAACCAACACCAAGAACTTGTCTGGGAAGAGAGGGAGGGTTTTCCTTTCTCTCTAATTTCGCCAGAGCAGATATGCTTATATATTAAGATTCTGGGTAAGAGTTCATTAAAAAAGATCCCCAGCTCTCTCTAATGAGGAACCAAATCTGTGAACCATGCTCCTAGACAATAAGCCCTACAGAAATACACAAGAGGAGGAAATCACTTCCATCTGGGGTGGTCAGATGCCACCTTTGATTTCCCGTCATTTCTTGCAAAAAGCTTTATGTTCTCTTTGGAAAGTGTCTGTGTATGGGTTTGTTATTATTAACAAACAACATATGTGTATTAAAAAAGAGTTTATTTTAAAAACAAAAATGCCCCCAATCTCTTCTGTCAGGCAAAAAGAATAGGAAAAAGAGGAGGAGGAAGGAGTAAGGAGGGAGAGAACACAGGATAAAGAAAAACAAAGGTGTTGGAAAATCCCTGCTGTGTTCAACAAGAACACATGCACTGTGGGGCACTGCTTTGGTTTTAAACCTTCTTTACCTCTAACTGTCTATTTTCTAAGCCTGGATCTATCCATCTATACCAATATTTTGAAGTTTCAGTGGGAAAAAAAAAAAAGATGTCAATATGAGGCTCCTATGTAGGGAGCGTCGGTTTTTTCTATTTGCCTAGCATTTGTTCTGCCTTCTTCTGGGAGGAACACCTAAATTTACTTTTAAACATCTTCCCAATCCTTTAGGCATATGATTGCAGTGACATTAAGCTTCTCCCATTGACCCATGCTACCATGACTCAGAACCTCTACATTCTTTCTTTGCAATCTCTAGAAAGAAAGCAAAGGTAAAAGAGATTTCACAATAAGCAGAAGGCTCAGGTTCCCAACACCCACAATCATGTTCTCCTTCTCTCCTCTCTGTGTCTGCTCTATCCTTCACTGTCTTGTTGCAGACCCATTTCTCTAGTGCACATGGTAACTTGCTGCCAGTTCCTGCAGTTTGTATCTGATAACTCAATATCCAATGAGAGATCTTTTCTCAGATCTATCCCAAAATTCCCAGAAACAGACAGTGATTGGTCTCACTTGGGTCAGACTCTCAGCTCTGTACCAGAAAACTCTGGCTACAGCCACATTGTCGAGACAGGATTGTTCCCTAGACCTTGAACCCCTATGTGGACCGGAACTGGAATGGCTTATTTCACTCAGTTTGCCGTCCATGGATGGCTAACTGTTAACAGCTCAGAAAAGAGTCAGGGTGACAGCTGCCTGCACCTGCCCTTCTTGACACTTGAGTTCTTGTTTGGTGTCCAGGAAGAATCAGGTCACAGGAACTATTTGAAGGGTAGTATATGCAGAGGATTTTATTGGGCAATAAAAGTGGCTCTCAGCAGGATGGGAAATTGGCAAGGGGATGGTGTGGGAAGAAAGTGATCTTTCGCTGAAGCCACTCGGTCTGAAGTTAGCCGAGTCTATCCATAGTCTCCGATGCTCAGTCGCATGTATCCCTGAGGCTCAGCAACTTATATCCCCCACCACTTGCATCAGCCGCTTGTGCTGCTCTGCCAGCTGAAGTCTTTTTATGGGTACAGGATAGGGGTGTGGCAGGCCAAAAAGGCAATCATTTGGGCAGAAAAACAGGGTCAGCTGTTTTCGCGTAGGGTCCAGATTCCAGGCTTGAGGGTGGGGTTTAGCCAGGAGTCGAACCATTCTGTATGATATCACTGCTACTGTGCCCATGGCCAACTGTGTTGGTGAGGTTTGGAGAGGAAGGGACCACTCTCAGGAAAGAGAATGCCAGAAAAACAAATAGGTCGGTGCCCAACACAGCAAGAAGCCTGGAAATAGAGTGCTACTTAAAGCAAAAGAAGGAAAATGCTAGGATCACTTCAAAGAACACTGAAGAATGGTTAACGGTAACAAAGGCTGCAGAGCACTCTTCGTCAAGTGTTGACAGGAGTCCCTGGATTAGGCAATGAGGCAGAAATAAGGAACCTTGGCAAGAGTGTTTTATGTGAAGTGTTAGGAAGAAATCAAATGACCACATCCAAGAGGACAAGAATGCTCAGAGTGGAAGTAGAAGGGATATGCGAAGATTTGACAAGAGTGTTATCAAGTTAATTTTTGTTGTTGTTAAGGAATGACCGTGGTCACAAGCTAATAATCTCTTGACTTTTTAATCCTTGGTTTTCTACTGCCTGTTGCTGGTGCTGCCACGAGCTGATGCTGGAGAAAGGGCTGCACTCCTTGCTTTTTAGTGATTCAGGAACTCCTACATGATCTTAATAAATCATGTCTTTTTGCAATCTAAAGAATACGCGCAGTGACTGCAAAGGATGCTCACCACAAAATTCCTATACTAATAGACAAATTTTATTAACAAGGCCATGTTTGTTCAATTCTTTTAACAAGTAAAATTTCTTCACATTTATAGAACTTTTTCCCTCCCTATAAGTCCTCTGTTCCTGATCAGTCTAACTGCAAAAAGATCTTTGTGGAGTTTTTTTGGAGTTCCGCAAAGACAGTGAAAGATTACTTTTCTCTTTTATCCTAATTCTGCATCTCTGAACATGCCTAACTTTGAAAAGACAACACCACACAAGCATATCACAACTGTTCATGCACTCACCTGACTCAGAAGTGTTACACTGGCCAGGTCAGGAACCATCACAGCCATTGCAGAATCTCAGGTGTGAGGTGTTGGGCACAGAGCATCACTAAAGGACAGCTCTGCACTTCTCTTCTCAAGCTGACCTGCCTTGCGCAACTGTTTGCATACTCAGGAAAACACCTGTGGTGTGAATACAACTAAATAAGATACCTCAGCTCCAAGGACCTGTCAGGAGCTGTGTCATATTCTCTCTGCTGCACTGAGCTCTCTCTCAACACCTGAAATAGCCTGTCATCCTCCAGCTTGCCTCACCTAGTGGGAGAGACAGATCAGGACTCAGCCCCATCCATTCTGTTCCTTTCTGCTGCAGTAAAGGTGACAAGGAGCTAGAAGAACAGATGGGATTTATCTAGCATCTCAGCTCAGCACAAGAGGAATATTATAAATGAAACAAGGGTGCTAGAGGAGAAGGTGCTTCAGTCTCAGATTTGAATACTTCAGGCCACATTTGGGCTGCAGCCCTGCAGAAAAGAGGGTGGGCCAGCTCTTTCTAGAAATAGTGGATGCAGAAAAGGAAAGAGAAAGGAAGAATAGCAATAGCCTGTGCTCACTGAATGAAGCACATGCTAAACCCTGGCTCTCTGGAGAGTAAGTTGGCATTTATGTAGAGACTAAAGACAATAGCATTGACTAGGACTGGGTGAAATTGGCAAGCTGGGCAAAAATGTTTTTGGTAACCTGTTTAAGAGCACTGATGGCTCTGCTCTCCCCATGGGTGAAGTTGTGGGGTGTTGTGGTCAACAGCACAGACACCAGAACCTAGTTCCACCCCTCACCAGTTGTATAAACTTAGACAACTTACTTAAACTCTTAGCCTTTACTTTCATCATTTAAGATTCAAAAATTAAAAGTCCTATGTGATAGGGTTGTTGGAAAATTTCAAATATAAAGTGTTTAACACAGTATTTAGCAGATGTTCAATAAATAATTATTATCTAGAGGGTTTCCAGATTTCAGGATGTCTAAAAATTGGTGTTTTTAATTGTAGGTAAGATTTTGTTCATTTGTTCCATTGTCTCATGTCATCAGTTGTGTTTTTGGTGGGAAGTTGGAAAAAAAATGAAAGAGAAGATGCTATGTACTAATTATAACTATATTTAACTGGAAACCTTGAAGAAAATTATGTTTACTATAGTTTTAATTTTACCATGTGTAATTACATTCTGATTTTTAGCAATTTTATCATACAAAACAGCATAGCTCATATATCCAGTTTTATATTCTATAATATGATGTTTTCTAACACACTATTCTGGGAAATATGCCTTAATTGATTTTCTGACTACCGGTGAAACTTTGAGCATTTCATTTTCACTTAATTAATTAATTTATTTTTGAATTTTTCTTTTTTGGGGCCTGGGGGAGTGGGGGACAGGGTCTGGCCCTGTTGTCCAGGCTGGAGTGCAGTGATGCAATCATAGCTCACTGCAGCCTCAATTTCCTGGGCTCAAGTGATCCTCCTGCCTCAGCCTCCTAAGTAGCTAGGACTACAGGCACATGCAACTTGCCTGGCTAATGTTTTTTATTTTAAATTTTGGAGAGACCAGATCTCACTATGTTGCCTAGGCTGCTCAAACGATCCTCCTGCCTTGGCCTCCTAAAGTGCTGGGATTACAGGTGTGAACCACCAGGACCGGCCCCTAATATTCTAAAAGAGAGCACAAAACAGGTTCGTCCTATGGAAAATACCTTGTCACAAAGGTTTAATGCACTGTAAAAGATTATGTATGTTTAGTTTTTTAAAAAACAAACAAAAACAAAAGCTCTCAGTAACATTCAACCTTACAGAATTTCCAACAACGTCTGTAGTCTGGCAATTGGTCTGTCCTTTGCTCCACCATCTGTGTGGATTCTGTGGCTCTTCCTGAGCTCAGCTCTGCCTGCCTCATCAACCCCCTTTCTGGCCACTCTGCCTGGCTTTCCACAGTCCAGGGACATTGACCTTCCTTGTTACTAAATCTCTACCAGCCAGTCCTCTCTCAGGGCTTGCACACATACGACGTCCTCTCCCTGGCATGCACTTTGTCCTCCTTTGGAGATGAATGTCTACCTAGCGTTAGGTCCCAGCTTCAGTGGCCCCTTCTCAGGCACACCTCTCGTGTCCTAGACTGAACCTTGTCTCCCACCTCTATCTTTTCACAGCACCCTGAGCTTTTCACCACAGACCTTATCACAAATGCATTTAAATCGTTATGTATGTAATTTTAACTTAAAATTTATCTTTTTGGTATTCTGCTATATTCTCAACATTTAGCCCTGTACCTCTTCGATAACTATGAACTGGGCAAATAAATTAGAAAGCAACATTTGAGATGCCAGTGCTGTTTCATCTTGAGGCTAGTGCTCAGGCTCTGGGCCTGGTCAAGCTGGGTCTGGAAACACAGCTTTGCCATTTGATTGTTTTATGGCCTTGAGCAAGAATCAAAACATCTCCAAGCCTTAGTTGTTTTTCTCTTCTGTAATATGGGGACAATATATTACCCTCACATAAAGTTATTGTGAGATATAAATTAGAATGTGTTATGTTCACAAATACCTATTACAGTGTCAAGCACATAGTAAGCACTCAATAAAAAATAGCCAGTGCTCAAAGTTCACAATCATTAAAATGGATGTGGAATATAAATCTAAATATGTCCACAATAAATGCCACACATGCGTCACTAAAATTCACAAAATTGATGTCTTGGCAGAGTCAACGTCAGTGGCAGATCAAGCTTTTCTCAGCGCTGATGCAGAGTATAACTTTTCTTGATATGACACAGTAAGACCGACTGCTGCCATTTCAAGTTTAGCAGAGAGGTGAGATGTTATTCAAGTTGCAGCACTAGGTAGCTACTCCCAAGAGAGCCACTGGCTTTCCAAGTAGAGCGAAACCCTGATCCCCAATTGAGCTGTTTACAGCAATGGATGGTGTCTCTCCTGCTGCAAAGTCTCAGAGAACTTCACAATCATCACGTTAGCAACCTCTAGTCACCAGCCAGGATCCGGAAGGAGAATGTTCCAGTAACATCCTGGCCTGGACACACACATTAACTTCACTTTTAAGTACAAAATTTGTAGAACCACACCATACCCAGGAATTTATGCAGTCTGGTAGGCCACATGAATATCTAGCTCCAAGAATCCAGCCTTTCCAGCCTACCCATTTCAGATGTGGTTTCTGCATTACATTTGCAAAACAATTATTTTAAAAATCTATTTAATAAACTTTCATTTGTTTACACATTGTTGAAAATTGTGTTGAACCAAAATAAGTACCAAGCCCTTTAGAATGAAATTCCTGGAAAGCTTTGAAGAAAAAAAGCTAGTTAATTTAATGTTATGAGAGTCATCTTTTGTCGCCAAGTGAATTAATTCTGTATCGTAATTTCAAGCAGGACATGCAAGACAAGACCATGGCTAAAAGCAGGGCTCACTCAGGCTGAGATGTCTTAGGAGAAGACCTTCTGGGCCATTTTTCCATTATTATGTAGTACAAAATCATTATATGCATATAAAAGGACATTTCACAGTGAGGCTAGTTTCAGTATTCGAAACCACCTAACAAGGAGTATTAGTCTGTTTTCATGCTGCTGATAAAGACATACCCAAGACTGGGCAATTTACAAAAGAAAGAGGTTTAATGGACTTACAGTTCCACATAGCTGGGGGGGCCTCACAATCATGGCGGAAGGCAAGGAGGAGCAAGTCACATCTTACAAGGATGGCAGCAGGCAAAGAGAAAGAACTTGTTCAGGGGAACTCCTCTTTATAAAACCATCAGATCTCATGAGACTTATTCACTATCACAAGAACAGCATGGGAAAGACTTGCCACCATGATTCAATTACCTCCCACTGGGTCCCTCCCACAGCACGTGAGAATTCAAGATGAGATTTGGGTGGGGACAGAGCCAAACCATAACACAAGGTGTCAGTCTGTTTGGTCTGCTACAACAAAAATTTCATATACTGGGTGGCTTATAAACAACAGAAATTTATTGCTTATAGTTCTAAAGGCTGGGAAATCTAAGTGCTGGCAGATCTTATGTCTAATAAGGGCTTGCTCTCTGCTGCACAGATGCACTCACCTTCTTGCTGCATCCTCACATGGCAGAAGGGGCAAACAAGCTCCTTTGGGCATCTGTTATAGGAGCACGAATCTCATTCATTTTCAAAAGGCCCCACCTCTTAATACCACCACATTGGGGATTTGGTTTCAACATGTCAATTTTGGGGGAACACAAACATTCAGGCCACAGCTCAAGGAATGAAGAAAATCAGCTTGCTATTGAATCCATGCTGGAAATTGGATGAGCATCCAGAGATTAGAGTTGTTGACTCCCCGACCCCTTAAATCTACATGAGGCCACGTGACCAGACCTTGCTAAAGATCTATGAGTAGAAGTGCTGCTTATTCCTTTTGATCAAAGGCAGTTAAGATGAAGATGTGTTCTCCTCATCTTGTATTTCCTCATCTATTGGCTAGTTGTCAAGGACTCTGACACTCAAGGGGAAGGTGAAACCCTAAGTTGGAAAGGAGCCTGGGTTCTCTTATTGTTGTCTGGACAAAGTCACCTCTGCACTAGGAACATCCACATTATACTGTTTCATGAGCAAGAAATACATTTCTATTGTCTTAAAGCACTGAAATATTGTATTTTATTACAACAGTTAATATTGGCCCAACTAATTCATTTAAAAGGAAAGAAAAGTATGTTTTTCGGAAAATTTTGAGATCTTGAAGTCATACCAAGAAGTGGAAACATGTGCACCTGAGTGAATGGGACCCCAAAGCCTGTAAGACAGCAACCCCATGTCCAGTATTGAATAGAATTTATTGCAGCCTCGTGCTTTTTCTTATACTTGCCAAAGTGATTTCTCTGGTGCTTTCAATTTTGACACATTTTGGTATGCTGATGACTTTCTGAGGTAATACCAATTGCTCTCTAGTTTTTGAGATGCTCTCTAGTTTTTGACACTCATACTTGCTGGTTGTTTGCCTGAAATGTTTTTTTTTTTTTTTTTAATTCATGCCCTTGCAAGAACATTTGCGCCTA